>NC_000002.12:114459314-114762345 GCF_000001405.40 Homo sapiens | reverse complement strand
AGAAGAAAGTCAGACTCTTTTAGAGGTTAGATAGGACTGCATAGCAATTAGAGTAAGCAGAAGAAAAGATGTAGAAGAGGCATAGACATCTAAGTGGATTCTTGATCTAATGCTTAAGGCTTCCTCCAGAGCTGCTCTTTAAGAGGAGAAAATCTCTGTTATGAATTTATCCTTACCTTAAGAATGTGCCAAACCATGTAATTAAAGCTAAGAAGGTGGTGGATACAGGAGAAGCAAATAAAAGCAGTGACTCAGAGGCGTAGCATCTGCTTCATGAATTTCTTCTGGGTGTGCTTAGACGGGGGAGAGTGAATCTTCAAATGAGACAGGGAAAGTAGCAGCTAGCACAGTGTTATTTCAGAGACCCCACACTGGCTTGGCTGCCTGGCTTTCTGTCTCTGTGGAGCTGCATTTCCTATTAATATCCAAGAGAGGAAAACAAGTTACATTAGGTAAAATGAAAAATCAATGGGTTTCCTTATCTGAAGTCTTCTCAGAGCCCTCACTTGGAATTTGGAATTCCTAGGAGGAGGATTGTCAAATGGTAAAGCAGTTTCTTAGCAGTAATATGGTGGGAAGTGTCTGCAGTGGTTTCCATACTTCCACAGATTTGGCTGGTAAGGAGCCAGTGAGCTCAAATAGATTTAGACAGTTTGTTATTTTCATCACAGGAGGCATCCTGAGCTCTGCGCTTTCACTGGTTCCCCGCTGCTCCTCAAGTCCCCTGGGGGTGATATGCAGAGGACCCAAAGGATGCTGTGCACAAAGGGGTCTAGGTTACATCTGAGAACACTGAGCTTAGGAAATTCCCAATCTTATTACAACACAGCTAGCAAACCCATCTATCTTGCCCTACAGAGAGAGATATTATCTGTAGTACCCAGGAATACAAGCATACGAGCGAGTCTCTTTAAGAGGGGAGAAAAGTGCCTCTACTATTCTGGAATGCCTCCTTATACAGTCTTAAATTGACTATAAATGCTTTTGCTCATAAGACTCAGACTTTATAGAAACATATGAGATCCAGGGAGAATTATCTCCCAACAGGGATATAATATATAGTATTTCCCAGATTTACTTAAATTACTGAAAGTACGCCATCTTTTTTTTATTTGCTTTTCTTGCTATTTAAATGCTTAATTAGCACTCATTGGAATACTGTACACTGGCAGAAAGAAAAGCACAAAGGGTTTGGAGTCAGATACCTTAGGACAAACTTAAAACTGGCTAGTTATACGACATTGGGCAAATTTCTTAAGTCAACTGAGCCCCAATGTTTTAGCTGCAACACGGAGAAAACAACAAAAAACTGAAGTGCTATCAGAATCTATTAATGTATGTGATATACCCAGTAAAGTCAAAGTAGTCAAGAAAAATTTTTTGATTTCCCTTACTTTACTTATTTTTCAAAACAGCTATCCTTTTTGTTTCTAAATATCTTAATTTTCTCAGAATTTTTTGAAATATTCTACTTTCAGAGAGTTTCTTGACTATTTCCAAGTAGAATGAGTAAGAAACAATATTCAATCTTTATGAAGTCAGAAATCGAGTTGCGCTTTTATCCTTTTTAATAGGAATTTCACTCATCTTAATGATATAAAATTTCTTCTGTCTAGAACAAAATTCAAAATACAATTTTGGCAAATCATATGGCATTATCCTAAGTTAAATAACTGTATTTACTTATGCTACAGGGCAGCAAATGTGAAGACAGTGCATCTTATATAAGGCTTCCCAGAAGCAGGGTTTGAGAGATAGGTACTTGTCCAAGTGGGAGAGGGCCTAGGAAAATATATATATATATATTTAATATATAGATAAAAAACAGTAAGGAATTGAGGAAAATGAAATACTTGTACTTCCAGGTTAGAAGTTTGTTCAATGAAGACCTGCTTTAACTGACATCTGTTTTCACTGTACCTGATCCTACAGGTATACCTGGAGTCTGCATGGTACCACAGGTTTATCTCACCTCAAGTTGAGGAGCCAGCCTTTGGATTTCTGTTAATTAATTGGCTGGGGGATGCACGCCAAAGGGAGGGTGCGCTACTCTCCCAGGTATTTTCCTATATGCTAGGACGGTTCTCAGAGGAAGGATGCCACTGGGGACTATTAGCAGCCAATGCTCATAGCTGCTGGGGACTATTAGCAGCCAATGCTCATAGCTGCTGGGGGATGGACGCACCTGCCTGGTAAAGAGGATCTGGGTGGGCCAGCAATGGCATCGCCTGCCTGTGGAGACCAGCTGGAGGGACTTCTACAGGATTAGCGTTTATGGAAGAGATATGATAGCTCAGATTAGGGTGGTAATGGTGCAGGTGGTGAGAAGTGGGTGACTTGACGATTTAAGAAGTAAGAAATATTGAAGCTAAAATATCAATTGCTTCTCTGTGTCTTTTCCATATAACTGATTCCAAATTCTGTTTATTTTATTTTATTTCAAATTTGTCCGTCTGCTTCAATTTCCAGAGATCTCTTACTTGCTATTTGGCCTGGCACTTGGACATCATCTTGTGCTGACCCACCCCCATCACTGCCCACCCCCACCAGTTCCTGGCAATTTTCCAGGCTCTGTCTAATCGCATATACTTGGGAATTCTCATTTTGCACTCTTGATCTCAATTTATTCCTCTGGCATCTGACCTACTGCTGCCTAAACACTTATAAATCTTCTGTGATCTGCTTTTCTGGTCCAAAGTACTTGCCTTGTCCCCACAACCTTCTGGTTGTGAAGTAAGATAGACAGAGGGCCACTTTCAGACATGGACCCAAAGAACTCCATAGAAATTCTTGCTAGAGACCTTAGTTTAGCAGTGGCCACCAAGAGACAGCAGGAGGGGAAGATAAAACTAAAGAGTTTATTAAAAGAAAAAAAAAAAAGATTTACAGCACCCGTCTTGGACTCCTTAATGTAGAAGAAAGTAAATATACTGAGTTCCACTGTCTGAAAGATAAGAATGCTTTATAGACCAGTTCCTGCTTTATTCACTGTGCTCGTATGAATGATGCCAACTGATACAAATGCCATGAGGAATATCTAAAGACAGTCACTGTTCTCTGTTTAGTCAGACTGCAAATGGTTTAACTACAACCACAATAGTTCATATCCAAATGTTTTGGTGCTTCATATGGAAAGCATCAATTACCAGGAAATTTCACTTTTCTGGGTAACTGCCTTTTTCTTCTAAGTATGATCAATATATGTAGTTACTGTAATTAAAGTTTGATTGACTGGAATACTTGGAAAGTGGTCTTTTCAATAACTTCAAAATTAACCTAATTTGTCTCAATAGTCTTGTTGAAAGTACTTTGAAAATGCATTAATCCATTTCTTATCTTGCAAATGAAGCCTTTGAAAATAATCCACTTTTTGCTTGATAGCTAAAAGGACCACAGGTTATCTGAACATCCATTTTCACTTAACTAGATTACAGATATGAAAGGCATAGGGGGTTGCTTTGAAAGTTTTTTGAAATTTCGTTTTTTAATTTCACGATGAAACCTTATTTTCTGACCCTTTTTGTCATTTTCTGACAAACTAAGTGCAGACAACATACATACAGTTGAGATTTCTGCTATTTTTCAGTGTGATTAATCAAAGTTTTGCTGTAAAATAATTCATTTTATATGCAAGACATCTCTAATTTAGCCTTTTTTTTAACAGAGAGGAAAAATTTGAGCCCATACATTTATTTGAAATACAATTAGAATAATGGAAACCTCTATATCTTCTTAGCATTAAAGACTGTAGAACGGACAATTAAAAGCTATCTCAGATTAATACTATTACAATGTCATGAGTAATATAGGCCTGGCCCTCTGATTTATCATTCACCATTACTGTATAACTTACTCAGAAGCTACGCAATGAGGAGGGGTGATAAATTAACACAGCTATGAAATTTTAAGTAGACGAGGGAAAAAACCCTCAGATCGGAATGCTTCTCAAATAAAGACTTCAACTGTCTAAAATATGATTGGGTGAAATGGCAGCTTGGGAATCTGCTCAGCATATGCTATGTCAATGGTGCCTACAGAAGTGTGGATGGCTTTGGGACCACTCTTGAAGGTTACAATATTAGGGAAGGATTGTTTGGTAGAAAGTGAACAGAGTTGGGTAGGCTGCATATACCAAACTGAAAACTGCTTTAACTGACTTTTTCTTTTTTAATCAGACAAAGTTCTGGCAATCATCAGATTTGGGATTGTGTGAATTAGCAAAAGTCTGAATCTAAAAGTCATCAAGAGAAATAATTCCTCTTGAAGTTCACATGTGGAGAACCACGGGAACTCTGGAGTCAGGCAACACTGAGACTGTGTATAACATAGAGGGAGGCTCACACTTGCAAGACCAGCTTATTCAACTTCGTTGTGTGAGGACTTGGGGACTCTATGGAGACAGACTCCACAGGACTGTATTTGTGTGTATTTGCATGGAAAGGGAGTAGGAATTGACAGCTATTTACTAGCTGTGTTTCAACCAAAGTAAGTCGACTTTTATCTACACCAGCGGTTCTCAAGCTTGAGGACACATCGGAAACACGTGGAAACGCTTGCAAAATCAGAATGCTGGGCCCTAACCCCAGAGTTGCTGGTGTGGTAGGTCTGGGGCAGGTTGTGAGAATTTGCATTTCTAACAAATCCCAAGATGCTGTTGGTCAGGGGACCACACTTAAGGCTACTAATTTCTGTTATATATATTTGAGGAAAGTATTCTAAAGCTAAAAACATCAAATGGTAAGTTAAAAATGCTGCTGAAGCCCTCATACAAGTAGTCTCCCTGGCACTTCTATCTTTCCTTTTTGTACCCTTTCTCTTAGGTCTCTGGTACCTGAACACCCTCAGCTGCCAAAGGCACAGCCTGGTATGCAAACTAATTGAATCATTCTTATTAATGAATCTTTTTTCCTTCCTTCCTTCTTTCCTTCCTTCCTTCCCTCTCTCTCTCTCCCTCCCTCCTTTCCTTCTTTTACTTCTCCCTCCTCCCTCCCCCTCTCCCTACTTCTCTTCCTTCTTTCCTTCCCTCCTTTCTCCCTTCCCTCTTCCTTCCTTTCTCTCGCCCCCATTCTTTCCTTCCTTTCTCCCTCTTCCCTTTCTTTCCTTCCTTCCTCCCTCTTCCCCACCCTTCCTCCTGCCCATTTTTCTCCCTCCCTTCCATCCCTCTTTCTTCTTTTCTCCCACCTCTCTCCCTCCCCACCCCTCTCTCCCTTCCTTTTTTCCCTTCTGTCTGCCTCCCTTCCTCCTTCCTTCCTTTACTCCCTCTCCTCCTTCCTTTCTTCATTTCTTTCTCCCTCTCCTTCCTTCCTTCCTTCCTATATTCAAGACTTGATATGTTGTGAGCGTTAGGCTAGGTGCTATGTATTTTAATGCAATCAAACCCTTGAGGACTGTGTAACCTCATATGTAATCACAGGAAAATCAATGTACAAAATACCTCAACGGGGCTTCCTTAACTCTTTTGCTAAGAAATAATTTTTCCTAGGAGTATAAATAAATGTTTCATTTTAGAGGTAATATTTGAACTGGTTCTTTGAGTAAATTTACTCAGACAGGAAAAAAAAAAGTAGAGATTAAGGGAGAGACTGTGGTCTTGCCATATTGAATTGGCACTACTTATGAAGACTGAGGTCCTATGAGGATGAGGCAGTAGTTCATCATCTTTCGTAAATGTACGTCCCATGCTCTTCTTGGACCTGCCCTACAGAGACTGTGTCATTTGTCTGCAGTGGGGTTTAGACCCCAGTGCTTTAGGAAGATGCCTAGGTAACTCTAACGTGCAGCTAGAACTGAGAACCAGTGTGAAATTACTTTTAATTGTTCATTATTTTAGAAGCATTCGGATTGGATGACTGATTTGGAAAGCTGACTTGAGTTGACTCTCCAGTTTTCTTATCTAGGCATAACTAATTAATGTGTTCCTCCTCACCAGCTTAACTGTTGCCAACCAAACATCCTTGGATCATCTCCATGATTCCCTGGGGTCTATGAGGGCCTTCTCATGGAAAAATTCCTGCCTGATGTTGCAGATCCCCCAGGGAAAGCTAGACACCCTCCTTTGCCTTTTTCTGACTGCACACACTTTCATAACTTGTATGCATGTCTTTCTTAGAGACACCTCTACCTTTCCCACTCTTCCAGTTTGAACTATGATTTTTAGAAAAATGTTAAACTAAGCAACTACAAATCACTAAGCATTTTACATATCATCTCCTTTAGTCTTCACACTAATTTCTCTTTATAGTTTCAAAACATTGCCTTATATTGTATTTAACATTTTCATATTTCTATACTTGTTCTCAAGATTGCACTTTTTTTAAGAGCAAGTACAATCTGCCTCTCTTAGGTCAGGGTTGTTTCTCCCATCAGGTTTTAATTTCTTTTTTTTTTTTTTTTTAATTTCTTCCTAGCACTGTCTCAGACTATTTTAACTACTGACACATAGAAAATACTCAATAAATATTGACTTCAATTGGTCTTAAAAGGAAAAATAAAGATATGCAAAAGAACAAACTGAGGAAAAAAATAATTATCATGAATGCATGTGTGTGACTACTCCCTATTTTAGCACATTTATCTTTCAGAGCCTCTCACAGGCTAAATTCTTCTTTGCCTGGGCCTTCTGCCTTACAGTGCTCTAAGTCTGAAAGTTGGCTCCACTTTATTCTGCATTCTTGGTTCAGAAGAGTGGATAGGATCTTCAGATTCTATCACAGTAGAACACCTCACAAAACACACACACAGTTTTCCTCAATTGCTATATCCTGTTTGCTTTCTTCATTGCACTTAGCACAACTCATCATTTATTATCATCTTTCTTCCATTAGATTATAAGTACCTAAAACAGAAGTTCAGAAACCAAACCTGCTTTAGTCAACAATACTGATAGTTGCCGGATATGGTGGCACACACCTTAGTCTCAGGTACTCTGGAGGGTGAAGCGGGGAGGATCACTTGAGCCCAGGAGGATGAGTTTGCAGTAAGCCATGATTGTGCCATTGCACTCCAGCCTGGGTAACAGAGTGAGACCCTGTCTCTAAAAATAACAACAGCAACAAAACAAACAGTGTAACCACTTTCTAGTCTAATGCTAGGTACACAATGGAGGAAATTCAATAAATATTTATTGAATGAATAAGTTAATGAATGGAAACTGGACACTAACATAGATTCACTTCCTGGTCCTGCTAACCAAATAAGATTTCTCCTTTATACTTGTTTAAACAGCTTACCACTTCAGAAACAAAATATCCAACTAGCTATTAGTCATAAGAAAAGATAAATATGATCTTACTCAACTCAAATAGTCAAGTACATGTTTTTATTAAGTTGTTCTGTCTTCATAATCTTTATTTTATTGCAAAATAACGTGTGATTTAGAAACATGACTAAAAGTTAACCATTTATATAAATATAGCCCCTTTGTTTGCCAGGCCATTTATTTAGCATGTAAAACAGTATCCCAGTTTACATTTGAAAAACATGCTTTTCTTGGTTATTTTATTTCAAAATCCCATGCAGGTTTGGTGCTTATCTATAGCATACTAACAGTCTGGTTAATTGTTTGTTAATTGCTTCCTAATTGTTCCTGAGAAAAATCAATGCTTAGAAATGCCATTTCCACACGAGTGAACAGGCTGCCTTGGCCACAGACTTTCCTGACCTAGGCCGCATGCTAGAATCATCTGAAGAGCTCTTAAGAAAATATATATGCCAGCCTCCACCCTTTGAGATTTGAAGTTTATTGATAAAAGGTAGAGCTTTGCTACTATTTTTAATGCTCCCAGGTGATTTGAATGTGCAGCCACCATCAAAGAGAGTCATTGACTTAAAGAAAGAAAAATAACTATGCTCCCTCACAGGATGGACTGCTTACCCTCTAGACTTAGAGACATGCCCTGACATTCAAATCAATCGAATCATTATACATAAAAGGCAGAGAAATTGCTACTAGTTATGCTCTCAATGCCTGCGAACTGAATGGGCAATGATATAAAAGACTACAGCGTGGGGACCTTTTAAGTCTGGTGATTGGCTCAGGACAAGAACTGATTGTGAACAGAACAAGTGACCACCCATCCAGGTGTGTCCGCCTGTCTCTCGGGTCCCTTGTACTAAGCCTCGGCCCATGCTGTTCCCCATCCCTCAACTATCCTTACCCTGTCCCATGATTAGCAGTTGGCTTTCCTCCTGAAGCCAACCAAAGCCACAGATTTCCTATGGAGCCACTATAGAAAACTCTAGCTTCTTTCCCAATCTTCCAGTTTGAACTGCGATTTTTAGAAAAATGTTAAACTAAGCAACTACTAATCACTAAGCATTTTACATATCATCTGCTTTAGTCTTCACACTATTTTCTCTTCATAGTTTCAAAACATTGCCTTATGCTGTATTTAACATTTTCATATTTCTTTTCTTTTTTTTTTTTTTTTTTTTTTTTGAGAAGGAGTCTCACTCTGTCACCCAGGCTGGAGTTCAGTGGCGCCATCTGGGCTCACTGCAAGCTCCCCCTCCCGGGTTCATGCCATTCTCCTGCCTCAGCCTCTGAAGCAGCTGGGAGTACAGTCGCCCGCCACCACGCCTGGCTAATTTTTTGTATTTTAAGTATAGATGGGGTTTCACCGTGTTAGCCAGGATGGTCTCAATCTCCTGACCTCGTGATCTGCCCACCTCGGCCTCCCAAAGTGCTGGGATTACAGGCGTGAGCCACCGCGCCCAGCCCATTTTCATATTTCTATACTTTTTCTCGAGATTGCAGGTTTTCTAAGAGCAAGTACAATATAACATATTTTATCATATCAAGTCACAAGGCTAAGAGATGAAGGAAGACAGAGAAGGAAGGAAAATTGTTATATGGAGAGTCCCTCCTAGATACAAAGTGATAGCTTGTTTAATCCTCACAGCGATCACTGGAGATAAGACTTACATTATCCCAATGTTGTAGGCATAACACTAAGGCTCATACGGGCTAAATAACCAGTCTAAGCTGGGATAGAATTTGAACTCAATTTAGTTACTGATTAAACTCATTGGGGCAAAAAGCCTGGTATTTGGTGTGGGAGGGGGTTGGCAAGCTTGGACATTAGTTTCTTTGGGAGGAGGGCTATTGATTGACTATTCCTGTTTCTAAGGGAGGGACATCCATTAGCCTAGCTCATCCTACCTGATCTTTCTTGAGTCCCTCATTTCCTGCATTATTTGGGAGTGTGGAGTGTTTTACCTGATTGTTGGGTTTGACAGAAGGAACTGAGCTTGCCCACCTCCTCCCCTTCCCCTCCTCATTCTCTTCAGGAGCTAGCTGCCTGCAGGAAGTGTGTGTCCCCACTCTGTTTCTCCATGTCTTACATTTTCCATGGGCAGGTCCCCATCAAGGGATGCTCACAGGATCCAGTGCTGCCCGTGAGTGGGTGCACATGTATGTCTAACTCTGGGGTTCAGCCTTAAGAAATCCATTGACAATCTCTGCCTATACCATATTTCCCCATTTCAGCTTCATCAGCAAACCTATGATTTTACTTTCCTTTCCTGTGACTGCCATTTCTTAATTGGTGGAAAACGGAAGCAAGTAAAACAGGGGTGTCATTCAATTTGAGTGGTTCTCTAAGTGTGGTCTGGTACCAGTCCTATGAGTAACAGAACGTTTTAGAAACACAAGTTCTCTGGCCCCACCCTGGACCAAGAGTCATTTTAACAGCCCTGCAGGACAGTCTGATGCCTGCACAAGTGTGAGCACAGTGAGAAGCTCTGCTATGAACAGAACCTTGAGTCCTGCCTCCTCAGGCTCTTGGCGGTGAGTAACAAACTGATATCTTTACTGTACAGCTATAGGCAGGAGCCTTAGTCTGAGACCAGGCACAAGTAATTTCAGGATGATGTAAAGCAGCCTGTCTGTCAGTTTTTAATTCGAGGCTCTAATCTGAGTAGTTGGGTCATTTTCTTTTGCTTTGTTTCATTTTTTCTTCTCTATTTCTATAGAATTTCAGTGTCTAAAAGGTTGGGAGACGTTCTTCAACTTTGGCAGGATTTCTTTTTCTATCTTACAGATACCTGAAGAGTAAGAAGATGATTATCTTTCGACTCCCATCCCTGAAAAAACTGCCAAGAGAGTAGGGGGAACCAGCACATGGCAGGGGAAGGGGCAGCAACCTGCCCTTCTGAGTAGTGACAGCTCAAATCAGTTGGGAGCAGCAGGCTAAGGCAGTGGTTCTCAGTGTGTAGACCCTGACCATTGGCATCATTTGGGAACTAAGTAGAAATGCAAATTCCTGGCCCCACCCCAGACAACTGCCTCATAAATTCTGGGGGTAGGAACTAGTAACTGGGGCCATGCTGCACATGCTGTGGTCTGGCACAATAGCAGAAGCATCACCTGGGAGCTTCTTAGAAATTCATGTCTTAGGCCCCATGCCAGATCTACTGACCTATTCACAATCTGCACTTTAATAAAATCCCGGGCGACTGGTAAGCACATTAAAGTTTAAAAAGTACTGGTGTAGAGTCAAGGATGCAAAAGCCAAATCACGGGGCAGGAGAAGAGAACAAGATTTTAATGAGGTTTTCAGCTTAAGCTCCCAACATGTAAGTTACAATTTGGAGAGTGAGGCTGGAGTGAGGAAATAGATTGAAACCTGGAGAGAGGTAAAGAAATCTCCCAGGAGCCCGAAGCACCTGTTTCTATATGCTCTGCCCTCGTTAACCTTCTGCTAGCTCATTGGTGAACGCCATTGTGCTTAGGTACTTGCCTGGGCCTGGACCATCACTAGGGACTTATTGTATCTCATTCCACTACATGTAGCTTCGCTAGCAACCTTTTCAGATCTGCATTAAATTTCTGGCCAAACTTCTTTTGAAATTCTTCTCACAGCAGGGCAAGACTCCCTAGATGTCCACAGAAGGTCATTTCTCAGCCCAAACAGGTAGCAGCCTAGGATCAATAAGGACCAAATGAACGCTGAGCATTTAAACCTGTGGCTGGGGTGTGAATAAGTAGTTGGAGAAATTGTAAAAAGGTCAGGTAGCAAGTACTAGCTTTGTAACTAGCAAAAGCACTTGTATATATTTGGCATTTTGCAGAACCTTCAAGCTTAGTTTGATTACTTATTAAAATTATGGTAGGCCAGTGGGGAGAATCATGATAATTTGTATAGGTCACAGATAATCAGAAGTGTCTCTCCCAGTGGGATGAAACTTATTAAAATTCGTTATTTAAACCTCTTTGCCATTTCCACATTCTGCGCACATGCAAAACGACTTGTCCCTATCTTGGTCTCCAAGGAAAAAAGCAGACATCTTCCATTGTTCTTTGTTTGGTGCTAATTAACATTTTCAAGAGGGTTGACTTAGATGCAGCTCTGTATACCCGCAAAGCAATCACTCCATTCAACTTCCAGATCATAGTTTTATCACATTAAATACTTAGGTTTTAATATTCAGAATGTTTAGATAATTTCAACTGGTGTCTCCAAAACTTGTAATCACATACAAATAATCCTCAGCTTTAGGCCACCAATGCTGAGGGGATAAAATGCTTTGTGAGAGACGAATCCTGTTATTTTTATTGTTAGCCTTCTGTTTGGAATAATGTAACTCCTATTCCTGAAAGCCAGCCAGCCAGCATGGACTAATTTGGTAGAATAGGCTGGCTGGCATCTACCCAACGACTCTCAAACCTGGAGGAACACTGGGCTCCTTGAGGAAGTGTTAAAAGTATTGATGTGGCTGGGAGCGGTGGCTCACGCCTGTATTCCCAGCACTTTGGGAGGCTGAGGCGGGCGGATCACGAGGTTAGGAGATCGAGACCCTCTTGGCTAACACGGTGAAACCCCGTCTCTACTAAAAGTACAAAAAATTAGCTGGGCGTGGTGGCAGGCGCCTGTGGTCCCAGCTACTCGGGAGGCTGAGGCAGGAGAATGGTGTGAACCTGGGAGGCAGAGTTTGCAGTGAGCCAAGATTGTGCCACTGCACTCCAGCCTGGGCGACACAGCAAGACTCCATCTCAAAAAAAAAAAAATATATTGATGTCTGTTCCCTCCCCTCTAAAATACTGATTAATCTGGTCTGGGGTGAGACCAGTTTTTTATCTTATTTTTTTTTTAACAACTTCCAAAATTCTGGTGCCATTGCATGGAGTTGTTTCCTGTCCTCCACTCAGCCTTCAACATACTTTGCCTTCATGACATTTTTGCCTTGGATTACTTGACTCTCCATTTTTTTCACAGTTCTCCTATTCTTTCCCATTTCTTTTATGTACTTTAAACAAACATATAAAAAAGTATTTGATACAAAACACAGAAAAGCACAAGGGAAAAAACTTAGAAAATACACATATTTCTACCACTAAAGGATAATTATTGAGAACATTTTTATGCCCATGTTTCTCTGCATCTGAACACATATATTTTCTTTACAAAAACTTATCACACTAAATATACTCCTTTGTAGCCTAAATTATTTCCTTAACACAGCATTATGTGGAGGATCTAGGACAAATTTACAACATAATTTGGAATGATTGCAGTTGTGCCATCATTGTATGCAGCATCATTTAGTGTACTAACGCTTTTCTCTTTGGCGTTCATGTATTTTTTGATATTTAAAAGCAGTGCTTGGACTGCGTGTGGTGGCTCATGCCTGTAATCCCGGCTTGTTGTGAGACCAAGGCAAGAGGATAGGAGGCAGAGGTTGCAGTGAACCAAGATCGTGCCGCTGCACTCTAGCCTGGGCGACAGAGTGAGACTCTGTCTCAAAAAATAAAATAAAATAAAATAAAATAAAATAAAATAAAATAAAATAAAATAAAAGCAGTGCTAGAATAAGTGTCTTTGTTTATATACCTTTTCTAAATCTAATAATTTTTAACCATTATTGATGGGTAAGAAAAGAGGTACATGGCACAGGACTGGCAGTCATTGGGCAAGAAAGGTGCTGGTGAAAACATAGAAGTAAAGCAACCCATTCTGTTCTGGAAGTTGAGTCTTTATAAAAGACATGGCTGGGAACTCCAGATCTTCAGCTCATGTTAGAAAATTCCCTTTGTCCTAAGGGCTAATATCCAGAATCTACAATGAACTCAAACAAATTTACAAGAAAAAAACAAACAACCCCATCAAAAAGTGGGCGAAGGACATGAACAGACACTTCTCAAAAGAAGACATTTATGCAGCCAAAAAACACATGAAAAAATGCTCATCATCACTGGCCATCAGAGAAATGCAAATCAAAACCACTATGAGATATCATCTCACACCAGTTAGAATGGCAATCATTCAAAAGTCAGGAAACAACAGGTGCTGGAGAGGATGTGGAGAAATAGGAACACTTTTACACTGTTGGTGGGACTGTAAACTAGTTCAACCATTGTGGAAGTCAGTGTGGCGATTCCTCAGGGATCTAGAACTAGAAATACCATTTGACGCAGCCATCCCATTACTGGGTATATACCCAAATGACTATAAATCATGCTGCTATAAAGACACATGCACACGTATGTTTATTGCGGCATTATTCACAATAGCAAAGACTTGGAACCAACCCAAATGTCCAACAATGATAGACTGGATTAAGAAAATGTGGCACATATACACCATGGAATACTATGCAGCCATAAAAAATGATGAGTTCATGTCCTTTGTAGGGACATGGATGAAATTGGAAACCATCATTCTCAGTAAACTATCGCAAGAACAAAAAACCAAACACCGCATATTCTCACTCATAGGTGGGAATTGAACAATGAGATCACATGGACACAGGAAGGGGAATATCACACTCTGGGGACTGTGGTGGGGTCGGGGGAGGGGGGAGGGATAGCATTGGGAGATATACCTAATGCTAGATGACGAGTTAGTGGGTGCAGTGCACCAGCATGGCACATGTAAACATATGTAACTAACCTGCACAATGTGCACATGTACCCTAAAACTTAAAGTATAATAAAAAAAAAATTTAAAATAAATAAATAAATAAATAAATAAATAAATAAATAAAATAAAAAAAAATAAAAAAAAAAAAGAAAATTCCCTTTGTCCTACGTGAACAAATTTGGATGCTCAAGATGCATGTTTCTCACGGGTCCATAAAGGGAAATGCAGCCTGCAAGCAGTTTCTGCTCCCTACACTAGCACTTCTCAAACTATTCTGGTAAAACAAAAAAACAAAAACGAAAACAGATTTTTGTTTAATTTTGTTTTACTTCCAGTTTTTCATGGATATATACTTCTGTAAAATGGAATAAAAATAAATGTCTAGAAAAATAAAATAAAAATGACAGATAAAATGTGCAAGTTTCTATTTTTTTATTACTGGATTCAAGTCATAAAATTTCTTTGAAAAATTGCTATAAATATTTTAAGAGCTTACTCTCAGTCTCTACACTCAATTTCATGGGGGGCCAGTAACCAACAGTTTACAGCTTGGCACTGATAGACCGTAATTTGAGTGGCACTGGTTTAGAGCACATTCTCCGAGGAATGCATTAACTAAATGAGATGATCTAGTGTTTACATGAGAAAAAAAAGTTCCCTAGAAAATTTAGAACAGAAGTGCAAAGTTCAAATAAGTATTTTTAGGAATTGAATGAAATAACCAAGTGGGACTGTAGTAACCAAGAATAATACTAAAAATACAGAAGCCCATGATCTCCAACTGGAATGATCCAGAGAAGAAAGAACAAACTGTGAAGAATGGGAAACTCATGAAGCATTTCATATTTTTCTGAAAAGTTCTAATTTCTGACTTAGGAATGGTTTCAGGTTTTCCCCTTACAGCCATGTGTTAAACTGTGCTCATACATTTTTTGTATTTCTATATATTTTATCATTTTAAAATGCCATACATACATGTGTATGCTAATGCTGTATATGACAAATGCTTCTATATCAACACAGTTGAATGCAGCTAAGTGATGGAAAATGTACATTGGAGGTGACTTTGGTATATTTATATTCAAAAGTATAGTATTTGTGTCTAAAAATCCTTTCAACGGCCCTTAAATAAAGGATCTTATAGTTATCACACTTACAAAGGATAAAAGACTGATAAAAAGGAAGACAGACCAAAGTCCCATTTTTAATAGTGAAGGACAACAGTTTATTATTCTTAAAGGAAAGTTATCAGGTAAGAAGCATCCTAAAGGAATAATACTGTGTGTGTGACTAACATCTAAATGTGGAGAACCGGGGATGGGAAAGGGCAGACTCATCATTCTCCCTCAATTCTTCTCTTATCTATATATGAGTTACTTAATGAGAGAAACAGAGAACTCTCCTTCACTTGACCTTTAGTCTAAGATGACACAGTACATCATTCAGAACTAAGTGATATTTAGAGAGTATTCTAAGAATGTATACACATATATGTATATATCAGTGTATATATAGTGACTAGCCTAGGGAAGTCTCTTTTATGTTTCAACCTGAGTTTCAGAAACAATGTTTCATTGACAGGTTTTGTTTTTCTGATTTTTATCCATTTTATGCTTAAGTGAAGAGGGGGCATGAGGCAGCTGAAGAAAGATAATAGCATCTTGTTCCTTGTGATTACTCATTCAGGTTTCCATTTCCATTTTGTCATTGGAAAACTCCTAGAGCAGCTTGCTTTGATTCCTTATTCAGAGTTCTAAACAACAATCTGTTTCCTGGCTCTCCTTTGGGGTTTGCTCATCAAATGCAAAGGAAGAAAGAAGCTCACTTTTTCTAGCATCATTCTCAGGTCAACCTTTCATAGCCCTATGTTCCATCCCTGCAATCACCCTAGGCTCCAGAGACATCAAGTCCAGACTTCCATCTCCTGAGGACTGATCATGCAAGACTGAATTCCGCAGCTATGGGCAAGTCACTTACCTATTTGAAACTTTAGTTCCCTGATTTCTTTGACTGATTTTTAATTTTTTTACATTGTTAACAAATGTATTGATTTTTCTGATCTGGGAGCAGAGGAAGGAAAGAAAAAATAAGACTGATAACAGGGTCAGAGCAAATGAACGAGTGAATTAAATGTACTTGGCTCAGCAGAAATAGAACCCAGTGGGTGAGGCCAAAGAGGATTGCTCTTTGAACCACTGGGACATCTATTGAGCAAAGTGTCACTATGGTTATTTCTATTGGCATTTCAAAAGACATTTGGGTAAGGATTGAAACAAGAGGGAATAGGATGAAAGAGAGGTGAATAAAAGGAAACAGGGACTAGGAAAGAGGGTCAGCTGTGTAATTCTTTTCTGGCAATTTCCTGCTGGTGGAAAACTAGTGATGGAAATAAAGAAAAGGAGAGACAAAATGAAAGTGCAGTGGGAAATGGCACAAAAGTAGTCAAGAAACTAACAGCAAGGCACATTGTTAGGGGCTCCCTTCTCTGCTGCTGTTAACCATGATGAAGTTGATAGCACTTCCAAAGCAAGGATTACAAGTCAATTGCTTTGAAAGACCAATGGGAAATAAAAATTAGGAAAGCTGACTCAGCATGAGATGAGAAAGGACAGTGGGGACTACGTGAACAGAGGCTCACACGGCCAGTTCCAGAGGCCTCCTGACTTGGGAGGTCTGCAAGCCAACTTTTGCCAGTTCTTGTGATATTTAAAGAGAAGCCCCTTCTCTGGATTTGTATTTAAAGTGTCCTGATGTTCAAAACATTTAGTTTCTGTAGACACTTGTCTTTGTCCGTGACTCTATAAACAGACGGAAAGCAGGAAAGAAATGGAAATCAATTATCACATTACTTCTCCTTCAGTACAGTCAGCATTTCCTTATATTATTTTCATTTATTTTTATATATGGATATTTGTTTGTGGAAAATTAAAAATTTCTAGAGGGCAGCCATCATACCATGTATTTCTTTTTGCTCTCTGTGCACTCACTTGCAGACTAGAATCCAATTTTAATTAAAAAAATTCTGACCTTGAATTAAAATAATCTGATAATATGTTCCTTTTATTTTCTTCTTCCTGGAGAAATACAACAAAATCTATCATTGCATATGTTTGATAGATTAAATAAACAAAATCTATTGTTTGCATATGTTTGTGTGGTGACCTTTTGTCAATAAAGTAGTAAACTCTGGCATGAGGCAGGTACCTCCTCCATCCACATGTTTCTTTTAGAAGCTTGCTAGTTCCCAAGCTTCTAGTAAAGTCTTTGAAACCTCTGAAGCTGTTTTCAAAACACTTCAAAAGGAATAACAAGGCAGTTATATTAGCTAATTTGAGTTCAAATATTACTTCAATTATCAAGATATTCTTGATCAGGGATCAGCAACAATTTTTGTAAACGGCCCAGTAATTAATATTGCAGGCATTGTGGCCAGGCACGGTGGCTCACGCCTGTCATCCAAGCACTTTGGGAGGCCAAAATGGGCAGATCACAAGGTCAGGAGTTCGAGACCAGCCTGGCCAATATGGTGAAACCCCGTCTCTACTAAAAATACAAAAATTGGCCAGACGTGGTAATGGGCACCTGTAGTCCCAGTTACTCAGGAGGCCGAGGCAGGAGAATCGCTTGAACCTGGGATGTGGAGGTTGCAGTGGGCCGAGATTGTGCCACTACACTCCAGCTTGGGCGACAGAGTGAGACTCCGTCTAAAAAAAAACAAATTAGGCATTGTGGCCATATGGTCACTGTTACAGGTTCTCATCTCTGCCCTTATAGTGCAAAAGCAGCCAAAGAACTGTACAAACACAGGCATCAACCAAGATTCCACCAGGTCATAGCTCGCCTATCCCTCTTCTACATGTAACACCATTTTGTAGCCTGCATTCTCCGCATAACTGCCTCTATTTCAAACTTATTTGTCAGTGTAGATAGCTCACTTTATTTAGCATTCTCTTCTACTTCCTGCTCAGAATCACTCCCTCTCTGATCTTCATGTTCTAATGTTAGCACAGGCCATCCTAACTTCTGATACAAATCATTAACTCCTCCCAATGACAAATTCAACTACCGTTCAGTCTTCACTGATTTTTGTCTCTTATTCGATTGTTGAAAATAGCTTCCAAATTGGCCTTTTCTTCTCTAACTTCCCACACTTCCAATAGTCTCCTTAGATAAACTGATTTTGTGTGTGCCTTTTTACAGCTGAAGCTATAATCCTATTACTCTTTGCTCAAACATCTTCTATGACTCCTTGTTGCCCATAGAAATAAGGTTCAGAATCCTCAGCAGGGCATGCCATCATCAGATCTGTCCAGCTATGTTGCATGTCCAATCACTGTGTCCTCTACTCAACCGAATCAGGAACTTTACACTGTTCTGTGCTTTGATTGTGCCAATCCCTCCATGTAATCAGAACTCTGCTTGGTTAAATATCAGTTTGCTTCAAGTCCACTTCAAATGCCACCATTGCTGGGAAGTATCCTTTTCAGTATCTGTGGCCTAGAAATTGGGGTTTTGCTTAGAATACTTATAACCTTCGATCTTGTAATAAAGTTGCTTATTAGCAAACTACCTGAGGACAAGACCAAAACCCAATTTATTTTTGAACCCGATCACATCCACCACCAAGACAAGACAGGCAATCTTATTTATAGGACATACCACTATCAATAGCTAACACGTATTAAGCACTTCCCATGTGGCTCTATGAAACTTCTTGTTTTACATTTTATAAGTATTAAATCATTTAATCCTTACAACCTCACCTTTTACAGATGAGCAAACTCAGTTCATTATACAATCTTTATTTTATAGGTGAGAAAACAGTCACAAAGAGAACACACAATCAGTGGGCTGCAGCGTTGACACTCAAAATCAACAGAGAGGCTAAGGATGCTGAGCTCTTGATACACTTTTACAGGATTCACATTTTGTAGATTTGGGAATATTGCTTATTTTCACTTATAGAGGTTGTAATAATTGTATCTGTGATTTCTCAAAATTTAAAAATTCCATTTTACCTGCCTTTATCCATATTCTTAACTTTACGAGCTACTTTTTTTTTTTTCTATTTCCATGCAAGGGTATGGATATGAAAGAAAAAAAAAGAAACTTCAAGCAAATTCAACTTTGCTGTGGTCCTTTTCCATTCATCCATAAACTCACAACATGATATTGCCTTCTTCCCGAAGACAGTTGGGGAATCAGGATTTGAATCATAATCCCAAAAGATGTACTCTTGAACACCATAATTATAAATGTTGAAAGCCTGAAAGACCAAAATCCCTAAAGATCAAAATCCCTAAAATCTAAAATCTCTAACATCTGAATTCCAAAAATCACAGTCACAGGAATATTGCTTCATGTTAGGCAGAGCTATTACCTTGCTTTTGTCTTTACGCAGAAGAAAATGGATTTCAGTTGATTCTCTGAACCATAGTGATGGATTTGGAATTAGGTGTGATTAAGACTTCTAAAAGTGAATTTCAAGGTGTTACTAAAATTTTTTTCTTCCATTTAGCTCAATGCATTTGTCAAAAAATTCAAATGTGTGCATTGTCCACACGATATGGCAAGGACTAAAACTTCAGTTTAAAAATGCCTCGTTTGCCTGCATTGGCATTTCTTCTAGCTGATGACTTCCAGGAGATTTTAATGTATTAAAGTTGCATTTGCCTGAAGAAGCCAGCAAAGTTGCTGATGGACTGGTTCAAAAATGATTATGTACATGGTGGGATAAGAAAACACTTAAACACACAGTGTTGCTGTTCGATCACCAGTATTGTTTCTTTCAAATGTGTGGTCTGTATTTGAGTGCATGCAAAATGGATTTCTGCATACCCAAAACAACATAGAAACAAGGTGCAAAAGATGGGAAAATGTAATAGGGAATGCTCATATTAGTATATGCTGAATCAAAGAAGAATTTCAAAAAAGCAGTGCCACATAAAAAATGAATGTGAATGTATTCTCCAAGGAAAGCATGTATTAAAAGAAAAAAAAGCAGCTATTAATTGTGATGCAAGATTTCAAAATATAGTTAATGATTGTGAAATCAGCCAGCTCTTAGGAACTATCTACGTGCCATTGCTCATAATCTATTCCTGCATTATACTTTTCATATGCCAAATATTTTTTAGTTTTTTCTTCTTCTCCTTTTCTTTTTCCTTTTTAATTTTTTTTCACTATTTTAACATTAGTCAACATTAGTTTTTGCAATTTGCTGTGCTATGTATTTCATCTTTGCATCATTTCCTGTACTGGAGGTATAAATTATGGAAAGGCTGTTAGAGAATTCTAGTTTTATATGTTTCTTTGCAAATGTGACTCCATGAAAGTAAATTAATACAATGTTGACTTTTTGTGTAAGTATTGTGCACATATGTAAAAATGTTAAAATTTTCTCAGTAAAGAAGAGATACCTTTTTTGTACATCTGCACTTATGAAAGGTAAAATTTTTGAGATGTTGGCTCTTTAGGCAACTGGTTTGTTGACTCCTTGTGGTGTTAGGTAAATCCCCTGCTGGAACAAAGTACCACAAACTGGTGGCTTAAAGTAACATATTTATTCTCTGACATTTCTAAAGGAAAGAAGCTTAAAATCAAGTTATCTACATAGCCATGTTCTCTCTGAAGTCTCCAGAAAAGAATCCTTTCTTGCCTCTTTCAGTTTCTGGTGGTCCTGGGCACCCCGTGGCTTGTGACAGCGTAACTCCAGCATCTGCCTCCATCTTCATGTGATCATATTCTCCCTGTGTGTTTCTATGTTCACGTGGTGTTCTCCTCTTCTTATAAGAACACCAATCACATTGGATTAGAGACTCCCTAATGACCTCATCTGAACTTGAGTGCATCTGCAAAGACCTTATTTCCAAATAAGGTCATATTTATAGGTACCAAGTGTTAGAATTTCAAAAAATCTTTTTGGGGAACACAATTGAACATATAATAGGGGGCTAGACTCCGGACTGCTTTCTCTTCCTGTTCCTATAGGCCAAGATGAGAAACAAGGAGAGGATAGGAGTGAACTCTCCTCCAAGAATTTTAAGCCAGAGCACCTACTCCCAACACCTCCTTTCTCCTTGACACTCTCTCCATCATTAGCACCCATCCAGCTCTCCTCTTATGTGGCTCTCTTAGTCTTTGCTGCTGCACAGAAATTACCCTGAACTGCAAGAATAATAGTGGAAAGAAACTCACATTATTTATCTTTCTTCTGATAGGCAGATATTCTCCTTTGGTTCTGGGATAAGGTACAGAAAGGTTATGCATGCCTGGTAAGTAGCTTTGGTAGACAGATGTAGGAGTGCAGGCTTTGTAACAAAGGACAGCTGGGTTCCCATCCAAATCTTCTATAAGCTCAATGATTCTTCCCTATTTGAGCTTCAAGTTCTTTATAACAGAAAAATGAAGATAAAATTACCTTGTAAAATTATTTTAATAACATAAATGCCACAAATATAAAGTACCTGTTATCCACATATCCCACAGGAAATAAACTATTTAATTTGGAACCCAGTAATGTTTTTTAAATTTGGAACTCTCAACAGATTTCACAATAATCATTATTCAAAATTACTCTAAACTATGGTATCATGAAGTCTATATTTCAGGTACAGTATATACTACAGAAACTATCCCATGAAGAAAATGGACCCCAAATTTAAACGACTGAAATAGGACCAAACTTTTGGAAAGCAACCTAATCACTTGTCCATAGTCTGTTTCTGCCTCCAACATCAGACCTTCAAAAATATGCTATATTTTCCTTTCATTTTTCACTTAGTCTGGTTAGTTGGTTGCAGGCACTTGAAATGCATCTGGCTTAGAGTGAAAAATAAACTTATTGGAAGGGGATAGCCCACAGAATTGGAGGAATTATTGAACAACCTGATCATACGAAGGATAGAAACAAGATATCTCTGAATATCTAGGGAGCAAGAATAGAAGTACATTTAAGTTTTTTTTTAATTTTTATTTTATTATTACTTTAAGTTTTAGGGTACATGTGCACAATGTGCAGGTTAGTTACATATGTATACATGTGCCATGCTGGTGTGCTGCACCCATTAACTCGTCATTTAGCATTAGGTATATCTCCTAATGCTATCCCTCCCCCCTCCCCCCACCCCACAACAGTCCCCAGAGTGTGATGTTCCCCTTCCTGTGTCCATGTGTTCTCATTGTTCAATTCCCACCTGTGAGTGAGAACATGCGGTGTTTGGTTTTTTGTCCTTACAATAGTTTACTGAGAATGATGGTTTCCAATTTCATCCATGTCCCTACAAAGGACATGAACTCATCATTTTTTATGGCTGCATAGTATTCCATGGTGTATATGTGCCACATTTTCTTAATCCAGTCTATCATTGTTGGACATTTGGGTTGGTTCCAAGTCTTTGCTATTGTGAATAGTGCTGCAATAAACATACGTGTGCATGTGTCTTTATAGCAGCATGATTTATAGTCCTTTGGGTATATACCTAGTAATGGGATGGCTGGGTCAAATGGCATTTCTAGTTCTAGATCCCAGAGGAATTGCAACACTGACTTCCACAGTTTTTATGATGAATGAATGACCTGGTGATAGTTTACACTTTTGAGCCACTTTGCTGAAAACACATGTATTGAGAAGAGATAGTCTGATTGAGTTAGACTGGGTTACCTTCCACTCCTTAAGAATGAGGGGCTCTTAGTTTGAAAATAACAATGAGATTGCATGCAATGGAGAAGTTCCCTAAAGGAAAATCTAAACGTTGCCACCAGAAGAATGTAAATGAATGCCTGGCAGGTAAAACTGACAGATATCTTTCTCTCTTTTTTTTGTGTGTGTGATGGAGTCTTGCTCTGTCACCCAGGCTGGAGTGCAGTGGCTCAGTCTTGGCTCACTGCAACCTCTACCTCCCAGGTTCAAGCGATTCTCCTGTCTCAGCCTCCCAAGTAGCTGGGATTACAGGTGCGTGCCACTACACTTGGTTACTTTTTGTATTTTTAGTAGAGATGGGGTTTTGCTATGTTGGGAAGGCTTGTCTTGAACTCCTGACCTTAGGTGATCTGCCCATCTTGGCCTCCCACAGTGCTGGGATTACAGGTGTGAGCCACCGTTCCAAGAACATAGATTCTACATCAGAAATTGACCTTAGCTTTCAGTCGTCATTCATACAATTAATCATATTTATATGAATTGACAAATGATGGCTTGCCTTGTTCCTAAGAGGGCTTATGGATAGGTGGAAAAGGGGTTGAAAGAGGTGTTAGAAAATCCCCTGCACGTAAATCTCTCAAAGAAACTCCTCCATGGTAATTCCCTTATTTAGATTATCATTTTCCTAACATGTACAAAACATTTTGTAGAATGACAACCATTTAGCAAATGTGACAAAAAACTAAGGTACTTTGATGTTTCAATCCTGATAGCAAACTCAGATCCTGAAACCTCAAACTAGGAAATGGGCAGAGTAAATAGGGGATGAGTTGAAGGGAAACTCTATTTCTAGTGCTGGGAACTGCAGGCCATACCTGTCTTGAATTAGGATAGGGGAGACATTTCAGGGGTGGGCTTCTGGGCTTCCATGAGGCACCCTAAGCTCTCCCCACATATCTGGAAGAAATAAACGACTGAAGAGGAGAAAGAATAGAATTGCGGAAGGATTCCAGGACAATTACCACAAGCGCTTTAGGTCTTTGTCCCCATCAGAAGTCATGAGTATATGGCTCTTGGGCAGAGCAGCCACTGAAAGGGCCACAGGTCAGTGGGAAGTTACTATTCTCCTTTTCCATCTTAGTCCACCTCAAATGTTCTACCCCATATTTCTAGCCCCCTTGTTTTACAGATAAGGAAACTGAGGCTTTAAACAATGAATGCACCCAAAGTTCATAGAGCTGAGCAGGAGTTGAGCAGGGATTCTCACACAGGCCGGTGCTCCTCACACAGGCTAGTGCTCCCCACACAGGCTAGTGCTCCCCTTTGAGCCACTCTGTGTCCCAGGCTTTATTTTTTCCACTAGAGATAGAAGAAGCAGTTTATCCATTATTAAGTCACTGAAGCAATCAGCTGAGAAGCTATGTATCTGGAAGGTGTCCCATAGCAGTGAGAGAAGGAATAATGGGTAAAGTGCACTCAGGCTCCCTGAAATCCTCCAACCAGACAGCCTGCTCATGCCCGAGAAAGGCCTCTAGCTATGGTTGTGGTTTTGTTCTTACCATATGCCAAGCACTGAGTTGAGTACTGATATGATTTGGCTCCATGTTCCCACTCAAATCTCAGGTCCAACTGTAATCCCCATGTGTTGAAAGAGGGGCCTGGTGGGAGGTGATTGAATCACAGGAGCAGACTTCCTTTTTGCTGTTCTTGTGATAGTGAATTCTCATGAGATCTGGTTGTTTCAAAGTGTGTAGCACTCCCCTCTTCTCTTTTTATCTCTCCTGCTCTGGCCATGTGAAGACTATGCCTGCTTCCCCTTCACCTTCCGTCATGATTGTAAGTTTCCTAAGGCTTCCCAGCCATACTTCCTCTACAACCTGCAGAACCGTGAACGCATTAAACCTCTTTTCTTTACAAATCACCCAGTCTCAGGTAGTTCTTCATAGCAATGTAAGAATTGAATAATACAGGTCCACTTACATATTATACCTCATTCCATTCTCGTAAAAGCTTTGCCAGACAAAGGTAAAACAATCTGGGTCCTATAGCTGAGGAAGCAGGCTTATGTGGCTTGCCCAAGGTCATGTAGCTAAACCTTGACAGAACTGAGAACAGAACCCATGTCACTTGACTCTCAGCCTCATGCTTTTTGCATTGCCCTGTGCCATCCTCTGGGGCTTTGGTGATTTCAGATCACCATGTGACTCTGTTGGATGACAGCCTTTTGAAATAAGAGCACACTGATCTCTGGATTTCCTGAAATGGGAGTAAGGAGGATGCTTCCTATTGATTCAATCTCTCCACTGTTTTTCCTTGAAGTTGTACAGAATTCCCTTTCCATCAAGCTTTCTTTACAAATAGGGCTTAGGAAAGGCTGGAGGGATGTTTATCTGTCAGGCAGATTTCTCTCTCCTGCAGAAATGTTAGCCTTTTCACAGACCGCTGCATCTTTCTTAAAAACTTGTAGTAAACTGCAAGATGTCTTCTGGGACCAGACTGATGGAGGAGGCACCTGCACGCATTCTTCAATCAGACACCAGTTCAGGCTACAGCTCAAGACCTTCTACCTAGCTCAGGAGAGGGCAACGTCTTCCTGAGATTATTCTGCTTTTTGGAGATGTGTCTGCTTGTATTCCAATGAGCTGAGAATAAGCACATAACAACTAATATCCAGCATGCAATAAAAACAGGTCCTAATTACCACTAAACATGCCAACGTTAAGAATTTCTTTTGTTTGTTTTTTCAATTAGCAACAATTCCTAAAGATCATAAGCATTTCCTCTCTACTATTTCGTTTTAATTTAGTGTCTATTGTCTTGGATAATACCGTAGATGGCAACAATTACAGAAGGTACATTTATACATGTTTCTATGTTCTTCCTAATACTTGACACAATTACTGTACATTTAGTAAGGGCTCAGAAAATATTTAGCAGTTAAAAAACTAACCCACTAAATAGCTAGCAAGCCTAGGGTTACTAAGTAGAATCCTGAATATTCTGAGAGAGTCTCTTAAGGCCTGAGTACATCTATACCATGCAAAACATCCAGGTGATCATGAACACAGACAAACTACAATGAAATGTTTAGGTTTTATCTTCTCAATTTGCACTGTATAGAACATAGCCAAGAGCAAGAGGAAAGTTGGATCATCTTTGAAAATCATTCAAACCTCTATTTCTGTTTCAGAAAAATGAAGGAGACAGTAAGCTTTACCTAAATTATCAACATTGCCTATTTTCAGAAAATTTACTATCCAGATAATTAACTATAAATTTTTCTGATTTTATAGATTCTGTCTTTTATGAAATTGAATGTTTTATTTTATTTTTCTAAACAATAAACAATTATTGCCATCATTAAAATATGTTTACTTGACTAATCAACTTCTGTTGTTTTGCCCTGTATGCATGTAAATCCATCCATTCATTCCTTCATTCATCAGATGCTTATCAAGAAATAACAATAAGCGAGGAATCATGCTAGGCAGTGGAAACACAAAGATATGACATATCTTTGCACTTGAGAAACTCAGAATTGAACTCGAATGTAGGTAGATGTATCATAATATCATATATCTGGGAGGAGGCATGAGCACGCACAGAGTTAAAGAAGAGGAAAGCAGTGGAGGGAGGAGCATGGCATTACTTAGAGAGGGGATAGTTGGAAATGCAAAGGCCCAGAGAAAGGAGGACATGGATTCCTCACAGTAGTGGAAGAAGAGTTGGAAATGACTTAGATGCTTCTTCCAAGGCTCATTTTCACTTCAATCCTCCCCCTACACAGAAACTTCTCTAGATCTACTTGTATATTTATTTCTTCACTACTAGCATCTAAGTATAGTAGAAGCTAAGTGTAGCTTAGTAGCTTCTTAGTAGTAGTTTCTACTATACTTAGATGGTAGTAGTGAAGAAACAAATATACAAGTAGATGTAGAGAAGTTTCTGCGTAGGGGGAGGGTTGAAGTGAGAGTGAACATTGAGAAAATCCCTCTTTAGAGTCCTAAAGTCTCCTACTCATCACTCTGGTCAATGATATTTTTTCTTTATTTAGAAAAAAATAATTAACAAACTGCAGCTTATGAGCTAGTTACATGTGCTTCTTTTTCAGAAAGCCAAATTTTACGTCTGGCAACTCAAATGCCTGCAAAGTTCCTCTTGGAAGTGATCATGAAAGATTATCAAAGAGCCAAGATATTTCACCTCTTTGAGGGTGACGCCTGATTGTAAGCAAAATCCTTCATTATGCTCATAGAAAGGGGATTTGCTTGGTCATTAGAAAAAAGGAAAAGAAAGAAAATCTCATAAGTGGAAGGATAAAACTAATATGATAATAACAGTGTGTTTATTAGCTCTTGAAACAGAGAAAGAATGGCAGTAAAAACCATCTGAAAGATTTTTACATTTTCTAGAGTCTTGAAACTTTGAAACTCTTGCTTTTTTTAGGGAAACCAAAATAGGGCTACCCCAACAGAAGAAATTCACGCCTGCCTTTTTGCAAGCAGTAAAAATTCGCTGGTGCCAAAGCTTGGAAATGTTATCAGACTGGGTGGTGTTCTTGTAATACTTCTATATTTTTTCTAGGCCAGAGCTCTTTTTCTGCTTTTTCTCACTGTTGCTATTGCTTTTGGATAACAGCAAAGTAAATACAATTATGTGCTTTGAATTGTGTCTCCCTAAAATTCGTATGTTGAAATCCTAAGCCCTAGTGCTTTAGAATTTGACTGTATTTGGAGATAGGGCTTTCAGAAAGGTGATGAGGTTAATGAGATCATTAAGGTGGGCCCTAATGCAATCTGATCGGTACCCATATAAGAAAGGAAGAGATATCAGGAATACATACAGAGAAAAGGGCATGTGAGAACATGAGGGAGAAGGTGGCCAGCTATGAGCTAAGGAGAGAGGCCTCAGAAGAAACCAGACCTGCCAACACCTTGGTCTTGGACTTCCAACATCCAGAACTTTGAGAAAATAAATTTCTGTTATTTAACTCATCTAGTCTGTGGTAGTTTTCTATGGCAGTTCTAGCAAACTCATACTTGAACCATGCCACAAAGACTAGTATTTCCATCTGTTGCAAATAACAACTAGAACTGAGAGACAGACTATTTTAAGAGACCATTTCAGACACTTTTCTGTGATAATCTTTTGCCGACAAAAAGAGTCAAACTCTGTAAAATATTTTTAGAAATTTATTCTGAGCCAAATATGAGTGACCATGGCCTGTGACACAGCCCTAGGGGAGTCCTAAGAACATGTGTCCAAGGTGGTCAGAGCACAGTTTGGTTTTATATATTTCAGGGAGGCATGAAACATCAATCAAATACACTTAAGAAATACATTGGTTTTGTTCAGAAAGGCGGGACTTCTCAAAGTGGGGGTTTCCAGGCTATAGGTAAATTTAAACATATTCTGGTGGACAATTGGTTGAGTTTGTTTAAAGACCTGTGATTGATAGAAAGGAATGTTCAGGTCAAGATAAAGGTTGTGGAGACCAAGTTTTATTGTGCAGAGGGAGCTCTCAGGTAGCAGACTTCAGAGAGAGAGAGAGCAGGTTGCAAAATATTTCTTATGGGACCTAAAAGGGTGCCTGACTCTTAGTTGATTATCTCTTGGATCTGGGAAGGAAGGAAGGAAAACAAAAGGGAATTCTCTATAGAATGTGGGTTTTTCCCATAAAAGACTTTGCAGGCCAATTTCAAGGTATGGCAAGGAAATCTATTTTGGAGTTAAATATTTTTATTTTCTTCCTTGTCTCATAGTGTTATGCCAGGGTCAGATTGGAAAGTAAGCCATGATATATAGGGTTAAATAAAACCTATCTGATGAGAATTTATGGTTTGTAGGTCATTAGTCCCTAGACCCCTTAGATAGAAATTTGGGCAAATAAAAAAATCAGAGCTTAGTCCTCACTTTCCTGCATCTAGGAAGAGATGAGCTTAGTAAAATGATATTCCTAAACTGCTGTACCACAAGGCACTGTCTATTATATCTAATAGATGAGTTATTTCTACGGAAGAAAATAGAAACATCTGGATCTTTCTCTGGATCGTTATATTCAATACTCTATAATAATTACATTTGAAAACAGCAAAAGCTAGCCTTACTGGCCCTAAATGAGAAAATAAAAGTTGCTATTAGATGTTGTCACTATCAGTCATCTAAAACATAAAGGAAGGGGTCAGAATGCATCCTGCCATTTCTGGGAAAATAACTTTTCTCCTCTCTATCTGTCCCTCCTGAGGCTGGGAACCTTATCAGCTCAGGCATTTTAAACAAAAGAACAAACTCTCTCTAGCAAAAGGCTGAAAAACTACTTCTGGAAATAGATGTTCTTACTTGATATTATTATGAGTAGGAAATAAAGAGGTCCTGTTTTTCATTGATTTCTTTCTTTTCATAGTATGTTCTAAATGTTGTGATAAAGAGCCAATTCTTTAATTTAGACCTGGCACAAAGAAGAACATCACCACCATTCCCAGCCAAAGATCCAAAACAATCAGAAGGTGTAATCATCCATTGATGCTGAGGAGGGATGGAGTAGCATGGTGTCTGCAGAAGAAAGCAGGAATTTTTGGATTGCTACTGTGAAGCAAAAGAGATGGGACCAGGAAATAAGTGAAAAGACTGTCCAAGGATATAGAGGAAGTTACTGAAGTTGGGAGCAAAATTAGTAATGATCTTGAGCCAAACTTAAGACTTCTTCTTACCAGCTCCCTTCTCGCACCACCTACCTCCAAGCAGTCGTCAAGACCTGCCCTTTCTCGCTCTGCAATAGCTCCCAATGTGTCCTCTTCTTTACTTTCTGGATGCAGCTCCCTAATTCAGCTTATCTTCTCTCTAGCTTGAAGGCAGCAGTGGGTGCAGTGAAATAGAGCATAGACTCTGACGTCAGATAGAGTTTCTATCTCAGCTCTAACTCATACCAGTTTTGTGACCTTGGGGGAGTTACATAAACTTCCTATTGCTATTTCTTTTCTTCTCTGTGCCATTAGGATAATTCCTAGTGCAATCTATGTTACAGCATCATTATAAAAATTAAATGAGAACATGCAAGTAAAATGCTTGGCATATAGTAAGAGTATACTATCGGCCATTATTAGCCATCTATATTGAAAAACAAATAAAACAAGAAAACCCAAGGCATTCCTCCCTCAAACATTACCCTTTTTCAATCCATAGTATAATTTCTCCATAAGAATGAGTTTTCTAAAATGCAAATTACGTGTAGTCACTTTTCTGCTCAAAACTATTACTTGTCTCACAATTACCACCAACATAAAATACTCTTCGGCAACTTAATTTAAATCCTTCTTGATCTCACACAAGCTTATGTCTCTAGCATGATCTTTCCCCATTTTACTCTCTCCCCCAATCCCCACACAGTGTGTGCCAAAGCCATGTGAACTCATTTGGTCTGTAAAAGCTCTTGTTTTCTGCTAATGTTTGGAGTTTAGCACCTGCCAGAGGAAGCTTTCTCTGACCTCAAAATTAAGGACCACTCTCCCTCTTATGCGCTGGCATCCACAACTTCTCCCCTCTTTGCATGCTCCATATGACTAAATTGTAGTCGTGTGTCCAGTTTCCTGTTTTCTTAACTGCAATGTAAACTTCAGGAGGTCTAGAACTAAGCAGTCTAATATTCCCAGGCTCTGGCACCTAGGAGCTCTCATGATAGCTATGTATAGGGAATACTTGTAATTTTATGTTGCCTCGGCATTCATTTTTAGTACATATAGCATTAACTGTCACACCAGAAGCAGAGCTTAGTCACCTTTGACCCAGTTTCCAGCTGTCTTCCTCCTCCCAGTTTCTTCTTGTATTCCATCCAGACGTGATATCTTCCCTATAAAATCACCTCCTAGTATCCACTTTCATATGGGAAAAATAGATAACAATTGACCAGGCTCATCCTACTGAGTCCCATACTCCACATGGAATGTGCTCAGAGGCTGTAGTGATCACTCCTAAGTTATAACATGAATGCATGTGACCCTTGTCTGCTTGCTCTAAGTCCACCAATTAGAAATCCCAACCTGTTGGCTGCGCATGGTGTCCCCACAACCTTCTCATTGGTGCTCATTGGTGCTCCTCTTCTCTGGGACCTGTGAGTAATATACTGCTTCTGCTATTTCATGTGTTTTGTTGTGCCACCTCCTATGACCAACACACCTGAACCTATTTCCCAGTCAGTTCTCCTACAGAATGGCTATCTTTGTAGGAATAAATTGGACATAGGTCACACAAGACCTTAAGCATCTGCCAGTGTAAGTAAGTTTCCTGTGAGAGGGATATCTGGTCACACGTTGGACACTTAGGCATCAGGTTTTCCACCAGAACAAAGAAGTATCCCACGGAAGGTACACTGTAAACACCCACAACCACCTCCCCAAGAGCACTGTCAGGGCAGGGCTAGAGTTTACAGCTGCTCTCCTGAGAGAGACCTTGAAACCAAATTAAAAGAAAAATATGACACTATTATTAGCAGGAGTAGAAGTACAGTGCTGTTAATCAAGGACAATAAAGACAAAATATTGCCCATGACCAGGCATTCTTGGAAATTTAATGACATATAACTAAATCTCAATAAATGATATTAACATACTTCAAAAAAAAAAAAGCCTCAAGTGAGAGGGGAGGTTTGGCACAGAGCATGGACAAATCAGTCAGAGAAGCTGAGTACATACCGTCCAGGAGTAACGAGGCTGTGAATTCCAAACCCAAATAGAGAGACAGGTCTCTATCCACAGTGGAGATGAATGAATTAGTGTATTAAGATGCCCCAGATAATTTTTTTGTGACCCGATATTGTGTTCTTCACATCCATTCCCAATCCAGATTTGACCCTCCATTTAGATTTGCCAAGGCTATGTGTGGATCAGCTAGCAGACTTTCTGGCTGGCTCTTCCGTGGCTCACAGCAAGTTTAAAAAAAAAAAAAAGAAAAAAAAAAGCTGGACCAGGTGCAGTTGCTCAGGCCTGTAATCCCAGCACTTTGTGAGGCCAAGGCAGTTGGATTGCCTGAGATCAGGAGCTCAAGACCAGCCTAACAGGGTGAAACCCTGTCTCTATTAAAAATACAAAAATTAGCCAGGCCTGGTGGTGCATGTCGGTAGTCCCAGCTACTCGGGAGGCGGAGGCAGGAGAATCGCTTGAATCCAGGAGGTGGAGGTTGCAGTGAGCCAAGATCCTGCCACTGCACTCCAGCCTGGATGACAGAGCAAGACTGTCTCAGACAAACAAACAAACAAACAACGAACCAAACAAAAAAACAAAAAACAAAACCCATGGTAGATAATATTGATATGACTCTATTGTGGGTTTCTTTACAAAGACTATCTCTGCAAAACTGATCAACTCTGCATGCCAGGCAAAAATGAACTTTATAAATCTGCCAAATTAAAATAAAACCTTGGAAATTCATGACCACACCAAAGTACTGTCCCTCCTGAAGGCCTCTGAGAATAGCCAGCCACCACTTTGGGTGGTTTGTCTGTGGTCTTGCCCTCTGTGGTCTTGTTCTTTCATTTAATGGACATGATGGCCCTATTATCTACTCTCCACTGTATAACCACAAAGTTAATTAATAAAACAGGCATGAATTATTCTGGACTAGGCTTTAGTCAATGCCTATTAAAGTGGCAAAATTACTTCTAAGAGTCTTTATGCTTTTTAAGTGTAATTGACTTCTCACCTCCAGCATTTTTTTTTTCTGTTTGGACAGTAAGAACAAATAATATTTTTATTATGCATTTATTCAGAGAATGCTTAAAAATAATTTTCAAAGTTTTATTTCTCTTTAATAACTTGTAAATTTGTCTGATAGAACGACACACAGCAAAACAAGTTATTTTTCTGAAGATTTCTGAGCTATTGACAAGTAGGCAGAAATTCAATATGTTGTGGGGAAAACCTCTAGTTTGTGCTTTCATCAATTACTGCCTGTTCTGGTCCATTTTTAAGGAATTACTTTCTTGCAAGTCGTCTGTTTTTGCCCACTCTTTCTGTTCAATATGACTGAGGCTATAAATAGGACCACGAAGTTAGTCCACATATCCATAGCAAGATATTGTTTGAGGACGTGTTCCACATTTTGAAACACAGATCACAACAATAGTCTCTATACCTCTCCTTATGGTTCTCAGATGTAAGCCAGCACTGGAATCAGCTGGAAAGTTTAGAAAATCCACATTTCTGGACCTCACTCTCAAAACTTCTGATTCAGTAGATCTGAGGGGAGGCTGGAAAACTAGTATTGCTGACAAATTCCCAGGGGACTTTGATGTTTCAGTTGTGGGGACCAAACTTTGGGCTTTTCCTTTTTCATTTCAGATGGAAAGAAATTTGGCCAGGGCCTTGCTCTTCATTTTGGCATGTTTCTGAGTTCACTGCATCCTTGGAGGTGAAACCCACCCATGACAGAGTCAATATGCCAAATCCCCGAAGAGGCTCAGAGGTTTCAGGGGTGCATATGAGCCATAGTCATTTCATTTTTAGCTATAAATTAGCTGCGCTTATAACCTACAAAATGGCTTATTCTGTCTCCAGGTTTCCCTGGAGGCTTCATCTGAAACTATTCAGTAAGCAGTGCTGCCACCTTCTGATTTTCAACTGGAAATGTGTATTAAAAGTTTTGCTTTTGGTTGAATGCATTAGGTACTCAGCAAGTATTTATTTTAACATTCTTTTCTTCATGAATTCCTATTCTCCCTTGGGCCTCTTATTTCAAATGCCACTTATTGTTTCTTGTTAGCACATTTCTATACAAAGCCGTTGTGCTCTAATCACAGCCGCTCAGCATTTTATAAACCCTGTCTCCGTTAAACCTCCCTCCCATTATGGGTCTGGAATCACATGCCAAAGAAAAACACCAAAAATTACAAAGTTTCTTGTGAGTGGGTTGGTTTTCAAACATTATTTCAAAAGAGACCTCCAAACTCTAGTGCAGAGAGCCATTTTGCAAAACTCCTTTTAAAGCATTTCTTTGTTTTAGTTATTCATTACTACCTAACAGATTTTGCCTCAAGCACCACCCCCATACGTGTAATTTTATATAATCCAACTATACGGAATGAGACACTGTATGTGTATTTTCCTTCAGATGGAATAATAGACGATTAGAGCTCATTGGACGTAGAGAGAATGTAATCTAATCAAATTCTGTAATTTTACCCTGTAGAGTAGGGTCAAAGGCTGGTTGAAAATCTTACTTATCTAGTGAACCCTCTCCAAATGCAGTCCGCTTCTCTGGACAGACCTGGCTTGCAGAAGTCAAAAGTCCATTTCTGAGTCATTTATGTGTCCAAGAGAATGGGACAGACACTATGAATGACCAATCCTGGTTCATGTACCTACTCCTGTCACCTAGGATTAAGGTTTTTAACCAGAGGGTGGGAGAGTCATGCCTTTACAAACACCCGAGGCTCAGAATAATGTCAGTTTCCCAGGGTCACATAACTAGAAAAGGGCATAGTAGGGCCCAGATTAGGGTTTAACTCCAAAATCTTGGAGCCCTTGACAAGTCTCTGCTGTCCCAGGTTAGAAGAATAAGCAGGGCATCTTGACCTAGAGCAGAAAGTGCTGATTGTATGCATCTTCTCCTCCTGGCTCCTCCCATAGGAAAGGGGGCTATGTTCCTTCTCCCTGCCTGCCTCCCACTTTATCACCCTTCTACCTTAGTGGTCTGTTCGCCAAGAAGTCTGTGGAGACCTGTTTTGAAGCTGAGACTATTCTACACTGTTCTAAGTCTTTCAAGTAGATGGAAAAGAGAAGAAGGAAAAGCCTGAAGATGAAACACTGATTATTATTTACACAGTTACCACTTCTCTATTAGCACAAATGAGCCCTTTGATCATGGGGATATTAAGCTCTGTATCTCAGTTTCCCCATCCAAAATTGGACATTAATCCTCTTAGCATTGTTGTAATAATTAAATGAGGGTTTTTAAGTGATGTGCTGACCGCAGTGATAGACAGATAATAGACACTGAATAAGTAGTGACTCTCACTGCTATTATTTTCATTATTAGCGTTATCACCTCAAAAAAGCTGTTCAGAGGCTGGCGAATTCTATTTGTGGTACCTCCTAGAAACTACTTCCATTCTTTGTTTATAGGAGTTCTTTACTACACAAAACACACAATAATTTGAACTAAAAAAGCTGGTTGAATTTGTGCAGCCATCGGGGAACAATGTGTTGGTTTTCCTAAGAGTGAATATCTGATTGAAATCCTCCATTAGGGAAAAGTACATTAAAAAACATGCCCTGAGACCACCTGCAAAGCCAATGGAGGCCAGTGGTTTGGGCAACATGTTGGCCCAGGAACAGTGCCTCACGCTTTAACTTATCCCAGGGCTCCTTTTATTTTTATCCTTTAAAAACAACCTGCTGGATCATACATGACATCCAGTCCTGCCTTATTAACTAGAAACTAAATGAGCATTGGAGAAATTTAATTGAAAGTGATACTCAGAATGTTAATAAGCCCCTGGTCAGGAGAGAGATTGATGTTCCCAGCTGCAAACCAGCCTCGAGGAAGAGTCTCTGAAGACCTTGTCACCAGAAGCACACTGAGCTTCTGTGTGCTGCTGCTGCCCTCACAGGCTCACTTCCACCACTCTGCCAGCCATCGCCTGCTCCCAGAATTCCTGCTTAATCAGTGTTCCCCAGAGAAGCCCCAGCCTACTGCCTCTACAGCAAATCAAGCTCCAGGCCAACAGCACGCTGTTGCTATCAGGAGTGAAAAAGAAATAGCTTCTCTGAGTGAGATTTTAAGGACATGAAAAGGATGATGCTGGGAAAATTGGGATCCAAACATTTGAATTTCTTCCTTTTCCAGGTGGAAAACCTAGAAAGCCATGTGCATCTTCCTCTCTCTGAGAAATGTCCTTCTGAAAGCATGCATGAAGATAGACTATGCATAATTCAAACTATATTTATGTATGATAAAAAGAGAATTTCCATTCCCAGAGCTTAATATTAAAAATTCTAATCATACTTTGATCTTTGAGCACAACTTTCTATGAAATATTCCCAGGAAAAAATGAGCTTATCCTTGCAATTTTCTTTTTCCTGCACAATTCAAACTACAGGTGGCCTGCTTAAAGGGCATTCAGTTGATGTTAAAACATGGCTATTGACATGCCCAATGATTTCCATGATTATTTCTGACAGATATAGGTTTCAGAAGCTTTATTTTCTATTTTTCCATAATTGAAATAAAAGATCATTTAGAGAAAAAAACAGCAAAGTGAAATTTTTCAATAGTTACAGAAACAAATATTTCAGTGCAAAAATGAATATGATTAAATTCAACTACTGATTTAAGTGCAGTGCCACCAGGCCTAACTTGAAATGTTTGTCAGTGGCTTTTTGGAAACCTGGATTTCTTCTACAAAAGAAATATTAAAAGTGTCATTCCACAACGAATAAAAGTGTGAATTTTATGACAAGTTAAGGAGGTCAGTAGAACCATTCCTCATTGCTATTTACCTTGGGGAGTGAGGCACTGGACATCAATTTGAGGAGATCACTGGTTCATCTGAACCATATGGCTGGCTAGTTTAGCTCTTCCCAACTGAATTATGGAAGAACTTTTTTTTTTTTTTTTTTTAGACGTAGTCTCGCTCTGTTTCCCAGGCTGGAGTGCAGTGGTGCAATCTCGGCTCACTGCAAGCTCCGCCTCCCGGGTTCACGCCATTCTCCTGCCTCAGCCTCCAGAGTAGCTGGGACTACAGGCGCCCACCACTATGCCCAGCTAAATTTTTTTTTGTATTTTTAGTAGAGACGGGGTTTCACCATGTTAGCCAGGATGGTCTCGATCTCCTGACCTCGTGATCTGCCCGCCTCGGCCTCCCAAAGTGCTGGGATTACAGGCTTGAGCCACTGCACCCAGCCTATAGAAGAACTTTTGCTGAAATCACTTCCATTCAATTATTCTTACACATTGGGTCTCTAAAATGTTTTGGTTTGTCATTTCGGTTTAGGAGATGCAGGGAAGTGTAATATACTAGTTGTGAGCACATATTCAGGGGAAGACTTAATGACTGGCATTGGACCAAATCTCTTCTCCAATACTTCCTAGCCTGGCAAATAAACTCTGAAAGTGGTTTCTTCTTCTGTAAAAGAGACATAAGGAGGATAATCACATCTATTCTAGGGGACTATTTTGAGAGAGTAAGTAATGTCCATGAAAAGATCTGATCCAATGTATCTGGAACATAGTAATGCTCAGTAAAAATCAGCCGTCTTCATCATCGTTATATGAAAAGCTTCAGATGCACTGGAGAGAAGCTCTGAGCATCATCCAAAGAAGATGTGGAGCTATTGAAAGAGAATTTGCATCATCGGATGTTGCCTTTGAAACCTGGAAACTTTGGGGAAGATGGATCTAAGGGAGCCAAGGCTAAAGGTAAGAAGGTCATGTAAGGAAATAGTCTACTGATTTGAGCAGAAGACAATTTGATGCAGAGCAGAGGTGGTAGGTGATGGAAAGTGGTGAAAAACTGATTCAAGAAGCATATCAGACTCAAAATTGGAAAAACATGGAAAAAATGTGAATATGCGTAGTGCGGTGGATAGAGAGGAGTTCGAAATGACTTATGTCCACCTAAAGAAAGAAGCTGAGGCATCAGATATAATTTTAATGGAAGAGTTTACTTTAGCCAAAGTGAGGACAATGGCTGGGACACATTTCCAAGTTGCCCTGGGAAGTGCTGCATTTGGCTTGTTACAAGCAGGTTTTCAAAGGGAAAAGGGAAAAAAAGAGTGGGCTGATACGAAGTTGTTTGACAGGAATTTTTGTTGGTTTACAGATGTGATCTGAGAAACCAAAATAGATGCTCCTTTATCAACTAAGACAGACCCCAAGGTTAAGAAAATAAATATTATCTATGGGCGCAGAATTCAGAGCTCAGCTGGCATAGCAACTTCCTAAATTCTTACAGCTTCAAACAAAAAAACCCCACACTCTTGCTAAACTTCCTAACAATAGGAGCTATCAAGCAAATTGTTACTCCCTTTCTACCTCTTATTTATAACCCAGATCACTACAACTCTGATTGGACAGGGGAGTGGCCTTCAAACATTCTTTCCTCTTAAGCAACTCCAGACTTTAATCCAGCTTCAGTCAGCTTTCAGAGGCTGCACACAAACTGTCTTTGTGCCTTAAAGTTCACCTTTGATGTAAAGAGCCAAATTCCAGCTTGTTTTAATGCTAAAACTCTACCTCAAAGTGAACATGGGAAGTATGTTACATATATGTTTACCCCTTGTGCATGTGCTTGACTCTCCTCATACCCCCCAAACCGGCTGAGTATGTATGAGTCTATTGTGTAATACAGACTGTGAGGTATAAAAATCAACCTGCCTTTTACCTCTTTGAAGAGAAAGCACTTTAGGTACATGCCAGAGACTGTCTCTTCCTGGTTTGCAAACTGATATTGCCAATAAAGCTCTCCTTTATACTATTTAGCCATCCTGGCGGTCTGTTGGACAATACAGCGATAACATTGATTAGTGATTGATTATACGTTATTGAACTATAGGTTATAAGTTATGGTGTCCAGTGTGTGGCATTTTATGGCTACTTGGCATCAGTTAATCTAGAGCCTATGGAGCAAGTGGCTTCAAGAGGTAATCGTTTAGCATAGAGGGGAAGTAAGATGTGACTGTTGTCACATTTTAAAGCCTCTCTGGGCCTGATAATTTAAAGGGGCTCACATTTCTTAGATAAAAACTTTCTTCTCTTTTCTCATTTGGCTTTCCAACATCAGTGACTTGGTATAAATAGAAACATCCATCAACCCATTTAAAAAATATATTTTCTTTTCCTCGTGTCTCATGGCCAAGATCCCATTATAATGCCCAGTTTCATTACTTTTGTTGGGCCTATCCTTTTATATGGGTGTGCAGAGGGGAGATTTACCTATGGGCTGAAGTCTGTGACTTCCAACATTCAATTACTAACATTATTGTTGTGTTGATTTAGTCATTAACAATTTATTTATTTAGATATGACATATTAAGTCATAAATATTTACTGTAAATTATTTATTAAAATTTCTGAGAGTTTTTGAATTCCTTGTCAAAGAAGATGAAGAACTGAACAAAGGAAAGGGCAATTTTAGAAAAAAAATAGCACTAAAGAGGGTAGGGGGAGAAATAAAGCAAGATTGGGTCCTCCTTCTCTGCTGGGCTCAATAAGGACCTGATCATTGTCCCACAAGCCTCAATGAGGGCTACTATCAAACATGAAAATAGATTGATGTGCTTTAATCCTTTCTGATTAACTTGCTCTGAGCCAATGAACTCTTTACTTTTCTTACTTTTTATTATAGAGAAGTTACGGTTGAAGTGAGCCAAAGATTCCAAGAACTGGTCGACAGAAGTCTTGCCTAACCTTGGTCCACAAAGAGAAGTTAATATAGTTTGTCTTTGGAACTGTTGTACATCTTTCCAATTACCATCATCTCCTTGCTGGAGCCTGTCTCTTAACTCCCTTCCTTTAGACATCCCACAGTGCTTATTCATTCCCAATATGGTGCTGACTGATAAGGCTAAACATTTATGAGGAATTTGCATTTTAACAAAGTTCTCATGAAACAGAAAACACTTAAAATCCAAAGGAATCAAGCTTAGAAGCACAGACTGATTGTTCATACCTTTCCTAATGGAGGCTAGGAAGTTCGATGACCATAAACCTCACCCAAATGTGAGAAGCCAGCTAATACTAAACTAGTTGGACAGAGCTAGGGAATGTCCCTGCCAGAACTTGTCTGACTTCCCACCTCCATCTCATGAATGTGCACGGAGCACTTCCATCCTTGATAGCTTAAGTGCCCCATGTCTGAGTTCCACTGACAACTTTGCTTTTCTCCAATATGGTATTTAACAAGCTGGACTGAAAAAAATTTTTTTTTCTTACCCAGTTTTCATCCCCTTGAGGGCAGGAATTGTCTTGTTAATCTGTGTACTTGATGACCAACACACCACCATACCTAGTAAAAAGAAGGCTTTACAGGTGGGAATAGTCTATTGGCTAGTTGCTTTTTTTTTTTTTTTTTTTTTTTTTGAGACAGAGCCTAGCTCTGTCTCCCAGGCTGGAGTGCGGTGGCTCAATCTCTGCTCACTGCAAGCTCCACCTCCCAGGTTCATGCCATTCTCCTGCCTCAGCCTCCTGAGCAGCTGGGACTACAGGCTCCCGCCACCACGCCCGGCTAATTTTTTGTATTTTTAGTAGAGACGGGGTTTCGCCGTGTTAGCCAGGATGGTCTCAAACTCCTGATCTCATGATCCACCCGCCTCGGCCTCCCAAAGTGCTGGGATTACAGGCGTGAGCCACCGCGCCCGACTGGTTAGCTGTTTTAAGATCTGAGTTTTTCTAATGGTTTGGATACTAACTATTGAACAATCAAAAAAAAACTTTAGATTCTCTAGAACTCCTCTTTAAAAAAAGAATGATATTTTCCATCTCTATTCTTCAGATCTTCTCTACCTGAAACTCAACTGGGAAAAATCTGTAAAAAGCATGAGGCCAATGGAAGAAATTTTAATCATCATTCTTGACAAAAATAGTGTAGTGCTAGTCTAGGGCAAAATTATAAATAGATAATTTATAAGAATTACCATTTTTATTTAGAAGAGAATTATACATTTTCTTCTTGGTTTCTCCTCTCCGTATTCAGGGTCTTTATGATAGCTTTACTCCTATAATTCCCTCTATCCAGGCCTTTCCCTTTGGTCAGTAACATCTATAATCTTCCCTTACCTCCCTCATATAAGATAAATGAAAAAACTGGCATTTGTAGCTAGTTATGGAGCTAAGCATTATTCTGGGTCCTTTACATAAGCTGTCTTATTTTATTTTCTCAACTACACTATAATGTACTTGCTGTTAACTCATACTACAAAGAAGAGAGCTGAAGTTTACAGAATTAAGTAACTTGCCAAAAGTCGCCCAGATAGGAAGTGGCAGATTCAGAACTAGAGTCTCAAGTTGTCTGGATGCAAACCATTAAATATTCTCACCAACCAGCTATTATTTTCTAACCTGTGATTTCCAAGGTAATATTTTGATCTTTAGTCTGTATCTGGAATCATGTGATACTGAGTGTGAAGGATCTAGCAGATTCTTTCCTGTCAAGACCATATGTGTACATTATTACAGAAGCATGCCTACAAGTCATGGCAGTGACTATCAGCAGGCACTTTTGGGCAGGGCTGATCTGTAGAATCAGGATAGTAGCTAAGGACCAAGAGGTAAGATTCACAATTGGGTGATGAAGAGAAGCAGGTCAAGAAGAATGAGAGCAGAGCTAACAGACTTGCTAAGTCAGTTATGCTTCTTTGCACTCTCAAAATTGTGCTTTTGAATACTGGCAAAACAAAGAGAAAAGTCTATTCAAATTTTCCCACCAAAAAGGATAAAGATTTGCACATAGCCAAATTAAAAATTAAAATTGACGTCACTCCAAATGCTTAATTCAGAAATAGCAAGATCTCTTTTGGAAGCGGTCAACTTTGACAAAATCTTTTGTTTATAAGGATGCAATGGGAAGGCCCATGCAATGGGTGTTTCAAAGCACCCTCTCAGCAAATCTGCAAAGTAAGTAGGGCAGGCATCAGAGAAGAATGATAGAATGAATGCACACCCTAAAAGAGTCACTGGAGGCAATGAAGTCCAATTTCTTCATTTAGATGCTTGAAGAAGTCAGAGCATAGGGAAAAGCAGTGACTTCTTTATCTAGGCACTGGAAGTCTACCTCGTCAGGGTGGGATAGGTTATGCTGTGTAACGTATAAACTGTAATACACAGGGGCTTAGCCCTCAAAAGTGTTTCTTGTTAATGCAAAGTCTGCTGCAATTTGGGTAGTTTTCTAGGGCAGCTCTTTTCCAAGACATGACTTTATACAGCTTTGCATTCTCCATCTTGCAGCTTCATCATCTCTACCTGTACCTTTCAGAATCACTGTGATAGGTGGAGAATGTGAATGGGTTGCCAGGCCAGTTATAGCTGCAGCTCAAAAATGACATGTATAAGTTCTGCTCACAGTCTACCAGCCAGAAGTGTAATAGGGTCCTTATTAAGGGTCCAAGAAATGTATATTTCATGTGTCCAGAAAGTAGAGGAGAACCAGATATGGGTGAGCACTAGTCATTTCTACTACAGAAGTGGATCTAACACCCAGGTTTCCTGGTACTTAGACAATTGTTCTTTCCACAGGCTCATGTTCTCTGAGCATTTTTTTAAATGTGTGGTGGAAATTGTAGAAGACAAATTGAGCATTTCAGAAAACTCAAATATTTATCTTAACTCTATTTTTTTGTTTCCAATAATTTTAGGAAAATGTGTTTTATTTAGCTTCATTCTTTCCAAATATAACTGAAGACCTTAAGAAGAATTGACAGATTTCTGGGGGATGATATCTTTATTTTATCCTTCAACCGTGGCAGTAAACTATTAAGACTGTCACTACTAGCTCTTGTTTCAGTATGTATGTTTAATTTGCAAATTACAGAAAATAAGTTATTTAACTAAAAAGACAAAAATATATTAAAGAGACCTAGTGCTCATGCAAGCTCAATAGAAAGTCGTCAGAAAGCCAAACTTCTGACAAACTGGAACTGGGCCTCATTCAAAATTTTCAGAATTTTCGCAAGTTCTCTCTGATCTTCCCCACCTCCTGTCTCTCAATCCTCTGTCTCTCCTAAAGCACTGAATGAAGCTGTTCTCCGAAGTTCCCTTATCTGTGTAAAGTCTGAACCTACCAAAAACAAAACAAAACAAAACAAACAACAAAAAACCCCACAATTACTCTGGGTTCCTCCTCTGAGTTTTCATTAACCAAACTCAAATCGCAGGAAGAAAGACTGAAGTCTGTCAACACACCTGACAGACTTTTGTCACAAACAGTTGTCTGCTCTGCAGGCCCAATAGATTTTATCCCAGGCCACTGTATGTTCTTCAAGTCCATTGCTATTGAATGCTCCTAAAAATCATTTGCTAACCCCTTTAAATGATCTTCACTTCTTCATCTCCTTTCCCTAAGAAGAAGAATATATAGCCATTTATACCCCATTGTGTGGTGGGATAATCACTCTGTGATTTTTCTTCCCATTCACATTATCAAACTTATATGTCTTTTCTCCTATTAATATGCCTTTTGTCATTTGATTTTCAGTGACCCTTCAAAAGACAAAGGGGAAATTGGTCCCTACAACATCTTAGTTGCAAATTTCAAAATACTGTTTACCTGGCTCATTCTTGTGAACCAGGCCATGTATGCCCTATGTTAAAGGCCCACTTATGGATCAGCTGTCTGTGGATCAAGCATCTACCTGCATGCAAACCACTTTCGTCCTGGTTAGAGAAGGTGGAGAAGCAGCGGACATGAACACTACTCCTGCAGAAGCAAGGGCAGAGCAACTTACCACAGAAATGGGGGTGGGTGGGCAGGTTGCAATGGATATGTCGCATCTTGTGCCAGGTGACAATGCTACTAAATGTCAAGGTGAGACTTGAGTGTACAATTTCCTGACACCTCAGTAGCAAGCCAAATGAGGAAAAATGAAGAAGGAATGCCTAGGCTGGAACTTACTAGATTTAACAATCTTGTACTCTGTAGATGCTCAGCCCTCAACCAGCCACAGGTGTAGCTAAATTGAAACCTCACAAAAGTCAAATGTTTTGCTAAAGCTAAGTCAAGTATTTTATGGCACATTTACAGGATATTCCTAGTTGAATCAGGCAAACATGGGAATAGTAAGAACAACCAAATGAAAATAATACATCAACCAATCTCAGACTAGAACTTTGAATTTGGTCTCTTTGAGGCATATAAGCCAGGCTTGATCTGCTCAGATGGGAACACTGCATGGTTTCAGTGCAAGAATTAATTTTGTTTTCTTTATTTCAACATTTGAGAATGTGTGTCACTACCAATGCTGATGATTATTGTCACAAAATCCCCTGTGACATTACAAAGAACACTTAGCCTCTCTGCACCTCAGTTTCCACAACCATAAAATAAGACGAGTTGAATTATGGTACCTCCTAGGGTCTTTACAGCTATACAATTCTATGACTAGCTCACCTTACAAATTTAGCATACATGTATCTACATCTACTGATTACAACCTGAGGCTGGTCATTTTCCTTAACATTCATTTTAAATAGCATCCAAGAATCCTTGAACAGATTTGTTTAACGAAACTGTGGCACTGTTTACTGCTACTAAAGGTGTCAAACTTCTCTTACCAAGTTACCTGTGACCAAAAACATTGGTTCTTATGTCATAAAAGAGTACCATAGAACTAACTATCTGTGATGATGGAAACAATCTATATCTATCCAATACAATAGCCTCTAGCCACATGTGACTACTAGGGACTGAAAGTGCAGCTAGCACAACTGAGGAACTAATTTTTTTTTTTTTTTTTTTTTTTTTCAAACAGAGTCTCTCACTCTCGCCCAGGCTGGAGTGCAGTGGGGTGATCTCAGCTCACTGCAACCTCCGCCTCCCAGGATCAAGCGATTCTCCTGCCTCAGCTAGAATTAAATTTTTACTTTCAATTATTTAAATTTATACAGCCACATATGGCTAGTTGCTATCATATTGAAGGCTATAGGACTGGAGATATATATTACACAAATGACAAAGGGAAATCAAAAGGTAATGATAGCTATTATAGAGAGATGTAATATTTGAAAACCACTAACTTTCATTTTTATGTTGAACTATGGAGTCCCTGTTTTTTTTTTGTTATTATTTTAGATAACAAACTATTCTGAGATGGTACAAGCCTTTCCAGAAACATAGAAAGAGATAATTTCTCCAATTCTAGTTCTATGTATCAGAATAGTAATAAATACAACTAAGCAAATATCAAAAGTTTGTTAAAAAATAGCAATAGTTTCTTACAATATGTCTCATCAGAAGTGTGAGATATGTATATAAGATTCTTTGTAAATACAGAGTAGTTATAAAAGTCTTTAGCAGTTCACTGGATGTGAAATTTGAAGCCCTGAATTTCTAGTTCCAGCTTTATCATCAAGTACTGTTTTCTCTAATCCTAAATTACTATTTTATGTAAAACTCACCATCAATTTAATAATAGCATCAGTAGAAGGGAGGTACTGGTGGGGAGGTACTGGGTGTTTCTTTAGCTGATTATGGCATTCATTACATGGCTACTATTTTTATTTTCTGTAGCAACATCAAGTATCTAAAAATTCTCCAAGAATATAATCTAGCAAACCTTATACATTATTTTTAAAGGTTTACGGAGCCAATCTGTTTTTGAGTCTCCTAAATTATAAATCTTTACCTTTTCAACTGCTTTAAAAGTAATGTTGTATTGAACAATTTCAGGGTTTCCTCTTCATTTCCTAGTTGGTAAAATTTTTACTTTCATTTGTCTTTCTTTGATTTAATGATATATTTCTAAAAATTAAGTTAAATAGCTTTTCTGGTATAGCAGCAAAATGCTTTTGACAAGTAGATGCTCTGTGTCTAAGTGAGAGTCTTTTGTGACACATAGATCAATCACAAAACAGTCTCTGAGAATTCGCAGACCTACTCTGAAGGATCTGACACTTTCTATGGCCTTTGTTTTCCCTGGCATGTGGCATGCTGTCTTCTCCATATGCAGTCACCTTTTATTGCAAAGTCGTCTCCTAATGGAAGTTTTTGAAGAAATCTTAACGGGAATGTACATTTCCATTACAATTTTAAGTTAAGATATAACTGTGGTTCTGCCAGGAAAATTAACTGCGTTGATGATTGAATGAACCCTCTGTGCAAGGCTTACTTCCAAAGGCACAGGCAGCACTGGCTCTGTAACGAGTCTTCTCCACTCCTCAAGTGGCAGTTTTGTTTCTTTGTTTTAAAGCTGTGTACGTCTTATATTTGAAGAAATGTGATAGTTGTGCCATTGTAGGCAACTGTCTTCAATATATTGGGTCAAGTATAAAATGGAGTTAATGATGCTAATAACTGGTTACCCTTCCTCAAATAGTGGATCCTTACACTTCTAAAATACTATGATTTTTAGAGACTTTATAAACTATCCACTTTAACCCATTCTCTTTTGAACAGGGAAGATCAACCTTACACTTCTAAAATACTATGGTTTTTAGAGATCTTACAAATTATCTACTTTATCTTTTGAACAAGGAAGATCAACCAGTTAAGAACATAATCAAGATTGTAGTTTTGTTTGTATACAGCAAGATGTTGCTTAGAACACCCAAAGAAGGACTGCCCAATTAGGTGAAACTGCTATATAACTGAGTTGTGGTCTACTTTCCTTCTTGTCCTACATAAAGTATTTTACGAAGCCCAGTTTCCTGTGTACAGTTTGGTATATGGATAAAGTTCTATTGGATAAAAAAAGATGCTATAGGGTATTACATTATTGTTTTCGGGTTTAGATGTGGAAGACTAAGAAAGAGACAACCCAATATGTGGTTGACACAGGATGTGTTTTAGTTCACGTCTTCACATGGAATAGTGTTTGCTGTTTATATTAAAGGCATTAAACTTTCACCAAGTCATACATGACCAAAAACTTAGTCTTTATATCAAACATTTCGGTATGCAATTTTAAGCAGGCTAGCTGTAATACTAATTTATTTCATTTTTTAAAATTTCTTATTTTTTCCTTTTAAATTTTCTTTCTTATATTTCCTAGCATTCATGTCTTCACTTTAAATTTATTTTCCTAAATATTTGGGAGGCCAGCTGATTGACTGATTTTCTAAAAGTCTTAAGTGCGTTTGTTTTTTTTTTAAAAAAAAGACAATCATTTCCTTTAGAAATTTTGCTAATATTAGCACACTATTTTTGATGTGTTTCAAGTCCAGTATAAAAACCAGGTATTGACACCACTTATTTGGTAATCTGGTAGCATCTTGAGTTGTTTTTTAATTTTGCTCACTCGCTCATATTTATTATGTCCTTGATCATATCATAAGACAAAGTACTTTGATTCATTTTGTATATTATTTAGTGATACATATAAATATTTAGTTATATATTAATAGTCATCCATTAATCAATATACCAGCCATATCTTTTTGTGTGTGGGAGGTGATGTCTGGATGTGTGTGTCTCTGTGTGACTGTGTACCCAGCTTTTTTGTACTGGAACAAACTAATTTCTTAAATTAACTAAAAATTCTGATTAGCTGCATTCTGATTAACAGTAGCTTTATTCTAATAATAAATTTTCATTTTCAACATGTACTTTTTTTTTATTTCAGGGAGGTTCAGTAGGCAGATAGTGGTACCTAGGCTTAATATTTTTCAGATTATTTGTAGTAAAAGGTCTTAGAATTTTTTCCTAGAATAAAATATTTGTCTTTTATGAGACATTCAAAGTTATTTCAACAACTGTGGAAAAGAGTGTCTTAAACACATCAATATTGATTTTTTTTCATTTTCAACCATGGAGGATGATCCTTGCTTATTTGAACCTCTTCAACGAATAAAGTATTAGTTTTCCTTCCACTGACAACCTGGCCATTAAAAGACTATATATCATTCAAAAGAAAGTTGAGGAACATTATTTATATCAATACAAATTGAATTAATGAGAATTTTCCACTAGAGGACATTTTCTTCTCAATTGTTACCTTTATTTTGGTGCTTAATTACTGTCTTAATTTCAAGTGGGATCAGGGCCTCTTGTCATCCTTTCATAGAGCCTGTTTCCTGCTCACAGATAACAGAAAGATTTATGGTCCTGTAATTTTTTGTTTCTGCTGTCAAATCTCTATATGGTTCTCAGGAGCTCAGATAGGTAGAGACTAGGAAATGTGACATAATATTAATACACTCATGATTTTAACTTGAAAAGGATTCTTTCAAGCGACTTTTGTCTTTCTAGGGAGACAGCAACCCCATTATGAAACAGGATCAATGTTTTTCTCTTTTTCATTCTCAGTGGCTGTTCTTTTGTTTCTTTCTTTGTTTATTTGTCCAGTCTTCCTAATGATCTAATATCACATGATGTGGAAAAGTCTGATACTTCAGAACCCTCAGAAATCATTTTGCTGTATTAGTTTATTTTTATAACAAAAAAAACAATCATAGACTTACTCGGATTGTGTCAAGTAATGGAGATTTAACATAATCTAGGTCTCAAAGAAACCCAGAGAGAACCTTACAAATAGTCTCAGAAAAATAACCAAACCCTAAATATGCCATGAGCTTTTCAGAAACTAGAACTTGGTTCAAGAACTTTCAAGGAGCCAGACCAGGTTTTTGGGCCAAGAAAGCTCATCCTCATTTCCTTCCTAAGAGTGTTGTTTAGGCTTTTCTCCGTTTAGAGCCATCAGTGTGACTGAATCACTCACTCTTTTGTCTGCTTCTCTTTGTTCCTGCTTTTGTTGTCACAGAAGGCAAAGGCCCTCCTCTGTCATCATCAGCTCTCACTAGTGTTTCAGTGCTACATGGTTCAGAACTTGATTATCTATTTCCAAGGTATAAGTATTAATTTAATAAAGTGTAGAATTATAAAATGTTGCTTTGAAATTAATTTCTACTTTTTGGGAAGCAGATTATTTTTCCTATAAAAAACTTTGGCTGCCACTATGTTGCTGGAGATGCCTTTATACCCAGCATGCTTGTCATGTTCATAGATTTCATGACTTTAGGAAACTCCCGAGAATACTCCACATCACTACACCTCAACCTTCCCCAACACACACAGACACACTCATGAGCGCACGCACGCGCAAACACACACACACACACACACACACACACACACACAAACACAAATCCACTCAGGAACACATGCAAAGTCTAAAATTTTTACTTTTATTATTTATTTATTATTTTATTTTTTTCTTTTTTTTTTTTGAGACGGATTCTCTCTGCAGCCCAGGCTGGAGTGCAATGGTGCGATCTCGGCTCACTGCAACCTCCGCCTCCTGAGTTCAAGAGATTCTCATACCTCAGCTTCCCGAGGACCTGGGATTACAGGCATGTGCTACCACGCCCGGCTATTTTTGTATTATTAGTAGAGACAAGGGTTCACCATGTTGGCCAGGCTGGTCTCAAACTCCTCAGGTGATCCGCCCACCTCTGCCTCCCTAAGGGTTGGGATTACAGGCATGAGCCACTGCGCCCAGCCAAATTTGTACTTTTAGCACCCATCCTTATTATTTTTCTTTTTGAAAATGATGGGCAAGCAAACATTTCTTGAGTGTGGGAATCATAGATTGAATGATTTTATCTTGGATCATATATCATTGAAAGTTAGAAGGTGAGTGACATACTGCTCAAAGTATTTTTGTATTGTTCAGTTCAGTGCCAAATATAACCTGAAAATTAGTAAGGTGCCTAATGGTTAAGTGAGGAAAGTATATCGATGTTTTTATTTTCCGATAGGGCTTTAGCTAAGTTGACATTGACTTAGTTGTATTCTTTCTGGAGAACAGTCTGTCTATACATATCAGCAATTCTAAAATAATTTTACCCTTTAACCCAGTCATTTTATTTTAAGGAAATAATAAAAGACTGAAAGACTGCGTCAGAATTTTATTACAAAATTAGGCGGGGTACGGTGGCTCACGCCTGTAATCCCAGCACTTTGGGAAGCTGAAGGGGTTGGATAACCTGAGGTCAGAAGTTTGAAACCAGCCTGACCAACCTGGTGAAACCCCATCTCTACTAAAAATACAAAAAATTAGCCAGGCGTGGTGGTGGACACCGGTAATCCCAGCTACTCAGGAGGCTGAGGCAGGAGAATCGCTTGAACCCAGGAGGCAGAGGTTGCAGTGAGCTGAGATCACACCATTGCACTCCAGCCTGGGTAACAAGAGCAAAACTCAAAAAAAAAAAAAAAAAGAATTTGGTTACAAAATTATTTATAATTGTAAAAACTTAGAAGCACTCAAGGTATCTGCTTAAGTGTTATTGTACTACAGCCATACAAATATTCTATGTAGACTTTGAAATAATATTATACAACTCTAAATGGCATGTTAAATTTGAAGTCTGACTTACCATATAATGTAGTAGGAAACCATTTAGAAGTGTATGTGTTTGTATAAAAAGAAATTTTGAAAATATATAAAATAATTAAAATGGATATTTCTAGTGGCTAGGGTAATGGCTGATGTATATCTATTTCATAGTATTCTAAACTTTTCAAAATTTCTGTAATAAATATGTAATGCTTTTATGATTGATAAAATGATGGATACATTTTACAATTTTGCCTACTAATGCTTTCTTTTTGAAAGAAGATGAAGTAGGTGTTCTAAATGTCAACTTTCAATGTGTCCTTGAGACCATATCACATAAGAAAGAGGAAGGACCACACACTTTGGAGTCAGGTAGCCCTGGGAAGGAGTCCTACCTCATGTCTAGTGTGATTTAGGAATAGAATCTGAGCTATTTGCCCATCTGAGCTTTCTCATTTGAAAAATGGGGATAAAATATCAGCTTTATGGATTTCCAAAATTAAGGAAAAGAGTTAATGAATATATAAGACTACTTTATTTTATTTTATTTTTTTGAGACACAGTCTCACTGTGTCGCCCAGGCTGGAGTGCAGTGGCATGATCTCGGCTCACTGCAACCTCCATCTCCTGAGTTCAAGCAATTCTCATGCCTTGGCCTCCCGAGTAGCTGGGATTACAGGCATGCACCATCACGCCCAGCTGATTTTTGTAGTTTTAGTAGAGACAGGGTTTCACCATGTTGGCTAGGCTGTTATCGAACTCCTGACCTCAGGTGATCCGCCCACCTTGGCCTCCCATAGTGCTGGGATTACAGTTGTGAGCCACCGTGCCCAGCCAGAATGTGTAAGACCACTTTCTGTGACTGGTATATCATAACCATTTGATAAATATTTGATGATGATAATTATTATAATTTGACTTTCTATTCTACATATTTCAGTGGAAAATTGCATTTTTCAAAGAAAATATTTTGAGATCTTTGGAAGCAGCAGTCTTGTATACATGAAGTTAATTATTCCAGATGAAGTAGATAAACAATGGCATGCTAATTAAATTATAACTTCTTGCTAGCTTCATTTTATGACCCTCAAGTACTTTCATTTAAAATATAAAAAAGAACAAAACAGTTCTCTCTTCTTAGACTTGTTCACTTATCCTATTGGAACTATCACAAAAAAAAAATAATTAAAACGTGGACAGTCTCAGAGTAAAAACAAAGGGTCAGGTTGGTTCTTCTATTAGTAAACATCATAGCTCCTACTATGTGCCAAGCACTGACTACTTTAAGCATTTTGCAGACATGGCCTCATTTAATGCTTACAACAGTCTTATGAGTACATTCTATTATCATCCCAGTTTAAAGATGAGGAACCTGAAACACAGAGGTACTCAGTAACTTCCCAAAAAGGGGAGCTGTACACCCTAAAGGGCCACCCATTGTAACCCAGGCAGCTGGATCCTGAACCCATTTTCTCAAACTCTCCACTCCCCTGAATCTTCAACACATTCTCCTTGCACTTTTATTTAAAGATCCTCCTAAATCTTCTTCTGAGATAAAAATCCTTGTTAGTCTGCTGAGCTGGAAGTATGTATTATATCTATTCACCCTGTGCCACCCACCAGAATAAAAGTTTTCTGGGGGCAGGAACCTCCTCTGCTACAATTATTGTCTATGCCCAGCATGTCATACCATGCCTGGAAGAAAGGGCACTCAAACGTTGATGGGTAAATGGGTAAATGAATTGATGATCATCCAAAAACTGCCTTTTTCCTGACCTTAATCTTTTTTTTTCTTGCCCTGCTTTCCTTGAAAGTGTATGAAGTCCAACAGGCTGAACTTAAAGCACAAATAACTGTGTTCAGCTTTTGTTTTCTCCATACACACAGGAGGATGGCATTCTCTTGTCTTTCCTGGTTTGAAAAGAAAGTAAAATCCTAACCCCTGCTGTTGTGTTCTCTATCTTAGTCGAAAGCAGTTTCTTTGTCATCTGGAACAACCCTTGTCTGTATCTTCTAAGCATCCATGTTATTCCCTTGTCTAACCTAAATTTGCAGGTGTCATTCTTATCCTACTACATGAAAAATTTAATTGCATTTCATATCTGTGCTTTTAATTTTTTTTATTTTTTTAGACGGAGTCTTGCTCTGTTGCCCAGGCTGGAGTGCAGTGTCATGATCTCAACTGTCTGCAACCTCCGTCTCCTGGGTTCATGGGATTCTCCTGTCTCAGCCTCCCAAGTAGCTGGGACTACAGGCATGTGCTACCACACCCAGCTAATTTTTGTATTTTTAGTAGAGGTGGGGTTTTGCCATGTTGGCCAGGCTGGTCTCAAATTCCTGACCTCAAGTGATCCACCCACCTTGGCCTCCCAGATTGCTGGGATTACAGGCATGAGCCACTATGCCCGGCCTGTGCTTTTATTCTATAAAGCATCTAGCCAGTACTTAGCACACAGTAGGTGCTCCAGAAATGTTTCACCTGAAAAGCAAAAAGATCATAGTAATCCTCTTAAAAGCAAGCAACTTATTGTATAGCAGGGATTAGCAAAGTTTTTCATAAAGATCTACATAGCAAATACCTTCAACATTGCAGGTTCATTGTCTCTATTGCAACTACTCAAATCCGCCTTTGTGGCATGTAAGAAGCTGTAGAAAATAAGCACTTGAATTAAGCATAGGTATGTGCTAATGAAACTTTATTTACAAAAACAGACTGTGAGCTAGATTTGGCCCACAGGCCTTAGTAGTTTGTCAACATCTATTCTATACCATGCCCCACATTACAGTCCTAACTATTTGCATTCTAACAGGGTAGAGTTGGTGGGAAGAGAGAATGAATTACTGGAAAAGCTCAAAAGAGTGTGGCCTCCTGAAAGTAGGTCAGATGCTTTGTTTGCATATGCAAAGACCATAGCATAGTTTGCATTATATATCTTTCTTTCTCTGCATGAAATCCTTTCCTAATCTCATTCTCTACTCAATTTCCCCTTAAAGCTCTCATCCTTCCAAACCTTTAAAAGATAATAAATAAGAATTTTATATTAAAGATAATAGGCTTTCAGGGATCCATCTGCAAGGAGGAAATGAGAGAAAAAAATCTTATTAGAACGTATTCCCATCATATAGATCGATCTGCAATTCACCAATTATAAATTTGTATTTTTGCTTTATCAATCAGCTCCATCCCTTTTCTAATAATATCCCTTCAGGACATCAAAAATGAAATTAGTTCTTGGCAGTTTCATAAGGCAAAGGGGAAAAGGTATAGAACATATCTTAGCTAAAAAATAAAATCATAGGCAAATGGAAAACACCATGCAATTAAGTAATAAAATATAAAATTTGAATGATGATCACCTATCTACTTCTACCTTAAAGGATATGTTGGTGTCCAACCAGGAAAACAGAAATTAGTTATTGTATTGAAATAAAGGAAATTTAAGGGCATTTTTTACACAGGGAATTAAGAAGTTGACAAGCCAAAAATGAGTCAGGGAAGTCACTTAGAGATCAGAAATAGCAGAAGGCTGCTTCCACACCTAGGCTGGAGAGAGAGAGGAAAGAGGCCAATGAAATCAAAATGAACCTGGATGTCAATAGGTAGATCACGGAAGAGATGTAGCACTGTAGCTGCCACCTAAGACTCAGAGAGGGGAAGAAAGTACCCAGGCTCCTCCTGTCTTTCTTCCCTCCAATCTCCTGCCAATGCCTCCCTTTGGTCAAATGCAAGCAGCTGACATAGGAGCCTGGGAATTGGCTTGGCTTGAAGGGCCAGCTTCTTGTGATAAGAGGTAGAGCAGTGAAAGAGTAAGCAATGGGGCTGGGCGCTGTGGCTCAAGCCTGAAATCCCAGCACTTTGGGAGGCAGAGGCGGGTGGGTCCCTTGAGGCCAGGAGTTCGAGATCAGCCTGGTTTACATAGTGAAACACTGTCTCTACTAAAAAATACAAAATTAGCTGGGTAAGGTGGAGTGTGCCTGTAGTCCCAGCTGTTCAGAAGGCTGAGGCCGGAGAATCGCTTGAACCCAGGAGTCAGAGGTTGCAATGAGCCAAGATTGTGCCACTGTACTCTAGCCTGGGCAACAGAGTGAGACTCCATCTCAAAAAAAACAAAAAACAAAAAACAAAAACAAACAAAAGTAAACGAGTTAAAGGAATGCTGTTAGGACTTTTCTGACACCCAACATTAGCTTCACGTTCTTCCTTTTCTGTTTTCTTGCTTTTCTTTCCTCCTTTTTTTTACCACAGTGATGTACACCTGAGCCACAGTTGCAACCAAACTACAAAACATTCCTCTGGAGCACTGTCTCCTTCCAGACCAAGGTGCTCAGTTTTCTGTCTATAGTGTCAATTAGTAAGTGCCGGTGGTGGGAACAGGGGAAGAATGTGTGCAGGAAGACAGGGCCCCAGAGAGCCTTGGCTGACCCAGTTCTTCCCCCTTCTGCTGTAGTTTTTGGGAAAACTGTAGCATGTGCTGAGGATACAGTGTCCTGACATAAGGAGAAACCACCTAGAATAGCCCAGGCTTTGTCATCCCTCCTGGAACAGGATATCCTGCAATGCTTGTGCTCAGCAACCCAGGGGCAACCAGGGTGTAAAACCCATAGTGGATTGCTTTTGGTGTCCCTCAGCTGCAGTATGAAGTGGGCATGAACAGATAAGGCTCCACCTGCCCTGGGCAACTTTCCTGAGACTCGGGGAACTGACTCAGCATGGATTCTAGGTTTGTTTGTTTTAGCTGCCTATCCTTGAATAATAAAGTTGCTTTGCCTGACTCCTATCATTATTCTTTCTTACCAAACTGGAGCTAAGAATGCAAGTAGTAGAGGTATGACCCCTGAAGCAGCCGTGTCTCCTTTGAGTCCCTGCCAGAGTCAAGAACTCTTGTAGAATTCTGGCAGCTGGGTTTGTGAAAAACCTCCTTCCACACTTAGAAACCTTTGTAGAAACTGGTGAGGTTTTAGAGTCCCCCTGGGATTGGAAATTTGTATACAGTGTTCCCCTTTCCATAACTGACACTGGTGCATAGAATTCTGCTTAAGAGGCTGGAGATGGTGAATTATCACATATAAGTAGAATCTGTCGCTCCACTACTCTGGCCATTGCTCTACTTGATTGGCATTGGATAGCAGAACAGACAGCAGCTAAGCAGAACAGAAATTAAGCTGGGCACCTAATTTCTGACCTACCTTGCATTGCTAACCTATGGTTCTGTTCTCTTGTCACCCAAAGGGCTAGCAAGACTCTCATGACTCACTTTTTAGTGGGATTTTCAAGTAAAGCTATTGAGCCCCAAGTGATGCACGGTTATTTCCATGAAACCAATGGCCTCCAAAGTTTAAAAATTTTGCTCCATTAATAAAATATGTTTAAGTTCACATTCCCCAAATATGTACTTTTAATAACTACTGTCTCGATACATATCATGGACTTTAGTGATGGTAACAACTAACAACAGTGGATATAAATTCATAATACAAATATTAGCTGTCTAATAATTTGAAATTTGGTTATCTAAATGCTTCTTATATCTGATTAGATTACCATAATTTTACCTCCTACTTGGGCTGATAAGAGTCCACTTAAGTGTAGAAGTGTCAGCTCTTCCTATTTTTTCTCTATTACTAATGCATTCTTAGTATTGTCTTTAGTCAGAAACAATATTTAAAGGTAATTGTTCGTCTTGTGAAGGTCAACTTACATAAACTAGAAAATAGTCATAACTCCATTTAATGGGCCCATGTAAACAGCAATGGATCCTGAAACACAGAAAACAAAAGGATGAAAAAGCGTGTGACGGTCAGCCCCACATCTGTGTGGCATCCCCCTCCCAAAGTCAGGATGCCTCTTGTACCTGACATGTACCTGCATGACCCACAGACCCAGGGAGGGCCATGGTATCCATCTATATGCCCAATATTAGAAAAATTATTTATTTCTTATTTCCTTAGATGAAGAAAATTATAAAGAGAAGTTCCAACATATTTTCACATCCCCCTCCTTGGGAGAATGCTGCTTTAAATGACACTCTTCTTTTTGCCAGAATTAAGATGTGCCTAGAAACTCTGCTCCTCCACTGCCTGGACCTTCACTCATGCTAATTTTCTCCAAGAGATCTGTAGTGGGTTGAACAGTGGATACTAGAAGATAGATCCAATTCCTAACCCCTCAATACCTGTGAATGTGAGATTACTTTGCAATAGGGTCTTTGCAGATATAATTAGGTTAACGATCACAAGGTGATGTGGTTCTAGATTTAGAATGGGCTTTAAATCCAGTGAAATGTTCTTATAAGAGATATAAAAGAAGACAGAGACCTAGAGGGAAAGGCCATGTGAAGATGAAGGCAGAAATTGCAGGGATGTGTCTGCAAGTCAAAAAATGCCAAGTGTTACCAAAATCACCCATAAGCTAAGATAGAGGCATGGAATATATTCTCCTTTAGAGTCTTCAGAAGAAACCAACCCTGTTCACACCTTTATTTTTGAATTCTGGCTTCCAGAACTGTGAAAGCGTAAATTACTGTTATTTTAAACAATCAAGGTTTTGGTCATTTATTTCAGCAACTTGGGTGCCAATACAAGATCTTATTGTCTCTCTTTCCAGTTAGGCCCCATCAGGGACACCTCTCCCCATAATACACCAGACAGGCTTGTATAATTCTAAACCAATTTGTAAAATGTGCTGGTTCTGTCCTACAGAACTTTGGAATCAAAAGATATGGCCAGGCAGCTCTTTCACTGACTTAGAACTTGCACTGTAATTTAAGTTACTCCTCAAATATGCTAGGTTCTTTAGAAGGCTAGTCTGCATAAAGTAGAAAAATGGCCCATGGGGGCAGCATAGTTAACTCCATAAACCTACTAAACAATGACACTCTCTCCTCCTGTCAGTGTGGAATATTCATATGAACCCTTGGAACAAATAGAGCTACTTTGCTACCATGAGAGAAGCCAGCCTTAGGATGAAGCTGATACATGGACCTGGGCAAATAATATAGATAAGGAATTGCCACCATGATCAACCCACACCTGAAGCATAGTTTCAATCTTCTTGGTAATTAGGGCAATATAGCCTTATATTATTTAAGTCTGCTTATACTGGATATTTTATTACTTGCCACTGATAGCATCCTAGCTGGTATACTCTCCTCTCCCTTTTTTGTCCTCATGGTCTCTTTTTATTTTTATCATTTATACATTCAATAGTTATTAAATCCTTGATACTGTAGGACTTTGTATTTTCTAGTTTTTTTCCAACCAATTTGACAGAATATTCTCAGTATAAACATAACAAGATATATTGGTGTTTTCCATTTCCTTTTGGCAACTAATAGACACGGTGATCAAGGAAAGTAAATTAAGACAGATGTGAGTTATAAATTCTTTATGGAAAAGTTAAGATGGAACAAATATATACACATACATATTCTTATGTATATATACATAATATACATCTTATGAATATATACTTATCTACATATTCTACTCCTTTTGTTCTCATAAACTTATGAAAAAATGTAGTTTAGAACATCCTCCCCCAAAAGTGATAAATTTAAGATAAATTTATAGTACATCCAGTATAACAAGGCTATTTAAAAGGTACTGGGCTAAAAGATTATGTCATATTAGGATAAGAATTTTCTCCATTCTCTTGACAAAGTCATGGCTCTCCAGTTGGGTCTATGAAGAGGTCCAGCTCAATGTGGCTTTCAATTTTCTTCCATTGTAGAATTACTATTTGACCATGGCCCCTTGTTCTAGTCTGCTCAGGCTACCATAACATAATACCATATACTGGGTGACTTAAACAGCATAAATTACATTTTTCAAGATTCTGGAGGCTGGAAGTCCAAGAGCAAGGCATTGGCAGGGTTGGTTTTGGGGAGGGGCTCCCTCATTGGCTTGTAGATGGCTACCTTCTCACTGTGTCCTCAGATAGTCTTTCCTATAGATGTGCACTCTCTCTTCCTTTTCTTATAAGGACACCAGTCTATAGAGTTAGGATTCCACCACTATAGCCTCATTTAACCTTAATTACCTCCTTAAAGACCCTATCTCCAAATTCAATCATATCAGAGGTTAGAGCTTCAACATATAAATTATTCAGGGGATACAATTCAGTCCATAACCCCCCATTTTGTCCATTACATTTCTCACCCTGTAGGTATACTTCACATTTGAAATCTATCATATGCACCTGTACACACTTACCTAAAAGGGAGAGAGAGTGTTTAAAAACCAAATTGCAAAATAATATTATTGAGGGATACCAATGGTAATTTTCCAAAGGTTGGGCCATAATGACCCTGCAAATGGTTGAAATCTGTCAACATCCTCTTTTGAGATAACTATTAACTATTTGGTTTGTGTAGTCTGGTACAACTTGCATCTGTCAATCAAATATGTCAAAACATAACATTCCTACTGGCTGTAGCAGAATAGGCTAGTATCTACACACATCTATCACATAGCGTCCCTATCTCTGCATCCCTACTGAGGCCTGGAATGATCATTCAATCAGCCTGTTCAATCCCTCTCCTTACTTCACTATCAGACTAAGACCTTCCTTCTCCCCAATCTATCTTATTTCAGGCCACACGGATCCTTTCCATCTTTGATTGTCTATCACCAACACCACTGCTATTGCTGGCATGTCTATCACCAGCACAATTACAGCTTCAGTGCCTAATCCCATCTTTATCTAGATTGCATTTATGGGCATGTAGTCCTTTCTGAAATACATCATTCTGAGCATTGCCTTATTCCTAACCTTTATAACACCATAACATCATCCAGCCTTGCCCTGTTGCCCTGATGATCCCTAGCACATAAAGGGAGCTAAATGAAAATTTGGAAAAGCATGTGGTACAGCCCGGCTCTGTGGGAGGCAGTAGGAAAAAGGCCCAAATCCCTTCTTTGGGGCATATATTTCCTCATATCACCCACTTCTGGGTTCTTTCTTTCATAGCTGGTCCCAAGTCACCCTGTAACTACTCTGATTTACAGCCCAAACAGTGTGTTTGAGTCAAATTTTCCCTCTTGGCATTGAGAATAATGAAGATTGAGAATTGAAAATGCTCCTATTAACCCAGCAGCTCTTCTAGTTTCAACATTTCTATTTTATGGAACCAGACAAATATGCTTTATTAACCATACTATCTAGAGGACTTCAGATTTGGTATACTTATCGTGCCTGATATACCAGTCACCACTTCCATTTCCTATGGACATCAAGCTAAACTTTGTGTGAACTTTAACAATGAATGAAAATTGATTAAAATCACACATGCTGAATTAGTTTTTCCCAAGGATAGCTAACAATTTTCTGAATAAACTTGACCTTTTCACTTCCATTTATTTTAATATAAAGGTAAATGGAAATCACATTCAAACAAGTGTATCAATCCACTTGGGAAAGCCTAAAAACAAACTTATGTCTGTGAAAATGAAAAGTAATTTACTCTTTTTATTAAGATGTATTGTAAAATCACAATTGTGATCTTATGCGTGTTTAGCAGCTCTGCTAGCCTATTTACAATTTTCTGGATTTTTAAAAAGTATATTTGTTTCTCCTGTAAATAAAAGTGGTTTGTTTTCCCCAGAACAAGAAGCATAGTTCTTAACTGAGAAAAAGATTTAGATATATTATTTTTTTTGAAAAAGAATGCTTCGTTAATGTAAAACTCTATGTCAATAAAACCATTTAATTACAACATATAACTTTCCATATAGAATTTTTTGAAAGTGATTTCACATATACTTTAATTATTTGAATCTCACCGGCAATGCAATGACTTTCTTGGTGACACACTACAACCTCCAGGAGAAGATCATCTCTCTGCCAATGTATATCCCCTCCCCTTCTTCCCACCCTGCTCACCCTAATACAGAGGTATTTGGATGTAGGTTCAAGATAAAGTGGACTCCAAATTGTTCAAGGTACAAAGAAAGTGAAGATTTTGATGTGAACAACACAGACATAAGAGCCTCCATCTTCTTTCTGGACTATCTTCTGGGGTTTTCCTTTGGCTCCTTTCCATCCACTCAGCTGGTTGGTCTGAGGTTAGCATCCATTTCAGAGCCATACTCTGTTCTTAGGAAAGAGGCAGAATCCAGGATGGATCCAAGAAACCTGTGCCTGATAAATGCCAGAAGGCATCCTTGTGACTTATACGTGTGCAGACCACAGCATCAGCGTTGAATATGACAAGGCAATATAAAGCCATAGGTGCAGTGAGGAATGAAATAGGCATTTTAAGTGTCTTCAAATGGCCTCATGGACCAGGGAGAAGGAGCCAAGTATACGAGGTAACAGGGCAGCATGTGATCTTTCAAGATCAAGGCTAAATATCTTAAATTATATAATGCCACTCTGATATCTCCTGGTGCCTGTGCCCTCTCTGCAGGTCCATTTCCAGAGAGCAATGGCCACCCACTACCAGTGGACCAGGCAGATGCTAGGAATAGAGATCGCCCACTGTGATGCTCTCCCAACAACATCAAGTGGCTCACACCATTTCATCCACCTAAAGGGACTTCCCATACCATCTTAAACTGTCAAAAAAAAAAAATTTCCTCACTTCAAAACTTGCTTCCTGTATGATGGTTCTTCTGACCATGCCCCCCTGGTTGAAGTGATGGTAGACTCATGCAATATATTTGTACTGAATACCTACTAAGTACAACAAATTAGGTCAAATTCTGAGAACAAAAATACAATACATGGCCCCACCTTCCCTCATGTAACTTACAGTCTAATGTGGTTGATCTATAAATACATTGACAATCACATTACACTGCAGTGAGGTAACTTACAGATGCTCAGAGGACCAGCTTCTTCAAAGACAGTGAGTAAATTTGGAGCCCAAATCCCCCTTCCTCTAGTGGCTATATCAATAATTATTCATCTAATTTACTAGAGAATTAATCACCTTCTATCCAGAGGTATCTCTCTAGGCTTGCGCTGATTTGTTATTTAAATTTTTCATTTGTAGCTAGCTTTTCACATTATTTTCATAGATGACCTCAAATGCTATTCCTGTTTTATAATACCAGATTTTACCATCTTGACAGTGTTATAAGTCCCCACAAGGCAGAGACATTTTCTCATAACAGCCTCAGCTTTCCTGGACTGCCCACCCCCCATTCCCATCAACAATTCCTTGGATGTAGTTGGCACTCGTTTTTCCTGGGTTTCGATTGAAAGGTACATGAATTCAGGAATTAAATAAACTTCTGTCAAAGGGTGGCACTAACATTACTGATTATACTTTTTAGGCAAATGTAGTTATCTTCTTTAAAACTCAGTTTCCCCACCTTTAAAATGAGAGCAATAATTTCTACCTTGCAAGATTATGGTTAAGAGTTAAAGAATATTTTATAATAAATTATATAGCGCTTTGCCTTGCACACAGAGCACCTTAAAGCATAATCTTTAACTGGTCTGAAGGGCTTAATTATAGCTAGAGGGCCCTGAATTCAAATCCTGCCTCATCTAATGAACAGATAGTGTGACATGGATGATGTACATACTCTCTGCAAATCCTAGCATTCTCATCTATAAAATGGGACCAATAATAATGGAACCCATCTCCTGAGATTTTTGTAAAGATCAAATGGAATGATGAATGTGGAGCATTAAGCATGGCACCTGGCATATAGAAAGCACTCCACAAATGTTAGCACTTAAGAATTACATTCACTAGCTTGCTTCAGGGCCATGATGTGTGAATCCCCAAGATTAAAGAAGATCACATCATTTATCTAGAGATTTATTTTTATCATATTGCCCTGTAGGTTTTCAGGTCCTAACCAAGGAGAAAAACCTCTCTTAAATTGAATAATAATAATAATAACAATGATACTAGTACACCATCACAAAGCTCCTACACGTTCTCTATTGTCACTTTGCTGAAAATCACACCTATCAATGGTTGTGTGTTCACTGAACAACAGCTTCATAAGCCAGCACAGCTCACCAAAAGACGAATAGGAAAGGCACAAATCCTGTGTGTAAATTCCTCACAGTCTCATTAGGGAGTAGGACAGGCAAACAAAAAGTACCAATGTTGTGGAGTATGTGCTTATTGTTAGGGGACGTTTATGGTACAAAAGAGCTGGATCTGCTGTTCACAAAGAGAAAGCAATAAAGAAAAGCTCCAGTGAAGAGGCTGTACATGAATTCCGTCATAAAGGCAGAGTTAAGGCTTACCAGGCAGAAGAGGCAGAGGAAGTGACGTGGTCAAATAACCCGAGGCATGACATGGTGTAGGATGACAAAAGGAAAAGGTTTGAGTTGTTCTTGTGTTTGTGATGTGGATGTAAATTGGGGAAACAATAGAAGAGAAGTAAGAACCAATTTATCTTGAAACTTTACCTAAAATTTTGTGATTTTTGACATTTTAGGATCACCGATTTCTTTCAATTCCTGACAAATATTTTTACTCTCTTTCAGGAAAATATACATACACACATATTTCTATAAAATACCTTTAATACCTGGAAAGGTGGGAAGTAATCTACACCTAGGAGTTTGTTTGTTTTACTCTGTCTATTGGATATGCAGATGGTATCTCCATAGGATGATACAGCCATTGGGACAGGGGCAGGAGAAGGTGGAGGGTGGTGTGGGGAGGTGATTGATTCTCCAACAAAAACAGTTGCTTTCCCCCCTGCCTGGAGACTTCCCCAGTTTTTATTTGAACAGTTACTCCTCCTCCATACAACATACAAATGCTTTGTATTCTGTGACTCTGATGGGGATCCAGGCTTTAGGATTAAGCTGGTTCCATAGCAGGCAGGAGCAGGACAAAGACACGAAAATGAATATGGCTCTTAGTGATACTTTTGAGCCACAGAATCAGTACAGCCTTAATGTCCATCTACCACGGGGCTCTCCTTTCACGGTAGCCAGTAAAGTTCCTATGTCTTTCAACAAACCCGAATTTGACTTTCCTTGTTGTATCTAAGAGTATCGTAACTAATAGATTACAAAAATAGACACATACTCTCCCATTTGTTCAACAGAGTCCAGCAGCATCTCTCCTTTCCATTCACTCCCTTGACCTTGCCCCTTCTGGTTCCTCTGCTCTTCCCACACTGTGTGGTCTCAGCTCTCAGTTAATTAAGTCCATTCTTCTTGGAGCTGGAGAGTATTGGGAAACCTTCAAGTCCCACATTTACTCAGCTGGTTCATCTGTTTGTCTTAACATGTAAACCTTCCTCTTACTGGTGTTCTAACTTCCTCTTAAAACACAGCTCTAGGGTTTACAATGTTATCCTCTGCCTATCAAAGACTGCTAAGGTTTCTTTCCTCATACTTAGATATGGGCCAAGAGCCTCAAAGATAGGTGACAAACTCTCTAATAGTAACAGGGAGAAGAAAGCTTCCTTCTACCATAACAGTGTTTGCAGTGTGTGCAGAGATTTCCCCAAAGGCCTCACTGTGGAGCGATATCGTTCAAGTGAAAGTCTCTTAAGTGCCCACATTTCCTTTTTATGTCTGTGAATTAAATTATCAAAATATGTTCTTGTGCTAGGTATCTCTCCTTTCTCTTTCTCTCAACACACACACACACACACGCATATGTATATATGATTGCATGCATATGTATATTTATACAAACGCATACATATATACAGCTTGGGCCATGCCTTCATGGTACCTCCAAGATGTATATAGCATGTTATTCTGAGTTTACGTCTGCAAGACAATTACTTAACGTTTTTTAGATTATCACCATTTAATGGTTTGTAGTTTCATGTCCTCCTGCCTAGAGCAGCCTGTGTACTCATGGACAAATAGAACAACAGGTTTGAAGTGGATTGTAAGGCCCAGCTTATCCAGTCATTAAAAAATAGGTACTTTTCTATAAAGCATAATGCCTGGGAAGTAATAACTGGGAATATTGAACACATCACGAAAGCACTCAAAAATGGGAATTGCCTGTTACTGACCAATGGAATCTTTATTTCAAATTATTACTTTGGGAAAGGTGCCTGACTATACAGACAGTATTCATAATATGTTATGACCATCTTGTTTTTATTCATTTGAATGCACCAAGCCCCCCTTTCCAAATGCAAGCTGTGAAAATGCAAGAAGCCAGGCAGGCAGTTGCTCTTGCTCTCTGGAATTTATTCACACCATGAGTCACTTCTAAGGGCCTTGTTCTCAACTCTCCAAACTTTCACTTGCTTTCCAAGATCCCTTGACTGATTGAGCCTTGTTCTCCTGACTTAGATTTAATCAACCCTTGTTCTAGAAGGTCTGTTACTTACTCCCTGATCTCACGTGTTCTGGGTATCAACAAGAAACACTTGACCCCTTGACCCTCCTGTATTGATTATTTATTGCTGCATAACAGATAATGTTAAAAGTTAATAGCTAAAAATGACAAATTTATCTCACACAATTTCTGAGGTGAGGCACCCTGGGGAGTCTTGGCTGGGATTGTTCTGGCTCGTGGTCTCTCATGAGGTTGCAGTCAAGATGGCAGATGGGGCAGCAGTCAGCTGAAGGCTTTACTGACACTGAAACATCCACTTCCCAGACAGCTAATTCTCCTAGCTCCAGGCAAGAGGCCTCCATTTTTTTTCCTTATGGGCCTCTTTTTATGATATGGAAGCTGGCTTCCCTCAGAGAGAGCCAAGAGCAGGGGTGAGGGTAACTATGAGTGTTTTATATCCTATCATGATTATGTTAATGATGTTATAAGAGCAGAGGCACAAAGGTTAATTCATGCTGTGGGGTAATGATTTAATATTTTAGAAGGGTACCTATCTGTACACTAAAACATGCCTGGGTTTTAATTCCAACATGAAATACAAATATTCCTGCATAGAAGAGGACATTTCTTTTATACATCTCTGAAATGTAATAGTGACAACAGGTCACAGTGGAATTGTAAACATTTAAGTAATGTTGGCAATGTAGACACCAAACCAAATCTATAAGTTACAGTTGTAAGAAGGATATTTCAGAGAGGTGTACTTCTGCCCCTGTTGTAAGATCTAGAAGGTGACTTATAGATAATAGAGAGCAAAGAGATAGATTCTGGTTGAACCTCCTACAGAATAATAATAACTGATGTGCTTCTGCTAGTCTTTTTTTTTTTTTTTTTTTGAGACAGAGTCTCACTCTGTTGCCTAGGCTGGAGTGCAGTTGCGCGATCTCAGCTCACTGCAACCTCTGCCTCCTGGGTTCAAGCAATTCTCCTGCCTTAGCCTCTCAAGTAGCTGGGATTACAAGTGCCTGCCACCATGCCTGGCTAATTTATTATATTTTTGGTAGAGACGGGGTTTCATCATGTTGGACAGGCTGTTCTTGAATTGCTGACCTCATGATCCACCCTCCTCGGCCTCCCAAAGTGCTGGGATTACAGACATGAGCCACTGTGCCCAGCCAACTTCTGCTAGTCTTTTTGCAGTTTCCCTGTTATTTAGTTATTTATGATCTCTTCTATTGCATAACTTACCATGAATTTACTAACTTAGAGCATTCTATGTCTACTAACTAACCGTGGTAACTTTCCCTTGTCTGATGCATTAAATTTCCTTTCCCATCAATGTGATTGGCTCAACACCACACAGTTCAGCAGTTACTAATATGCACCAAAGAGTTACTACAAGACTGTAATTTTAACCCAGGCAGAAAATTTCAAAAAGCTATATCTGGTAACTTTTCTGCAAAGTGGTTGTAACCCAGATATTCTATCTGTGTGAAGGCAGCTCAACAATATTCCTATGAAAAAGGTGTTAGTGAAGGACCTTACACATTATCTCGGGAGGTACACTATCATTCTAGTGCTATACTGAGTACCTTTTGCATTGTCAATAGCTCCCATGATTAAAAGAGAGAATTAATATGACAGACATCTGGATTCATACTTTATTTCAGTCATCTCACTTGATCCTTCAAATCCTATGAGATATTAATTATGTATTTTTTCATTGTAGAAATTAATGCTCGGAAATAAATAGCACACTGCAAAATGCCATAATTGAAACCCAAGCTTGCCAGCGTCTAAAGCCCATTCTTCGACCATGATACCATGGTGCTTTTTTCAAGCGATATGGCTTTTGCCTCTCCTCTAATGACTTTTTCATTCACCTCTCCACCTTGGCTTTATGGCACGCGCGCACACACACACGCAGAGTTTAGGTTAGCTCACCATTATTTCTTTAGTAACTGTTATTTGATTTTTTGCCAACCAGGCACCAAACAAACTGACTTAATTTTTTATATTGCATCTAGTTTGCTAAATGATAAGGGACATGTAGTAATAAAATAATATCCCAGAGGACATTTTCACATTTTACCTGCTGTTTCTCTTTTAAAATTTCCATTGTTAAAAGAGCCAAACAGCCATAGGCTCTGGATATAATAGCTTCAGCTGCAAATAAAAGAATTGTCTTTACGGATGGAAGGTGTGAAAAGGACTATTGCTTGTCTCTCAGCTACTATCCCACAGAACATTGTAGTGTGTTCAAACAAATGAGGACAGTAGTGAATAAACCAGTCTTTTAAACTTGTATAAGATTTTCCATACCTGGATTTCAGATCATTTTAGAGGCAGGTATTAATTTATTCTTTTTTCTCCTAATTTTTCATATGGACAAATTTAGGGACAGAAGAGATAATGAACTTGGCAGAGAATCAGGAGCAAGACATTGATGGAAAATGGTGCTGATTTAAATGCTTCCTGCTTGCATTTCTCATAATGAAAGCACAGCCATACTGTTACACTTGTATTTTATGGCTCACTGAAGAACCTCAATAACAAATTTTAAATACCTATCAAATGTCATAAAATGTCATTTAATATTGTTCTTGGTTTGTAAAGGGAAAATGAAAACTGATAAAGTTCATGTATATTTTGTGCTGGTTCAATATACTAAATACCATACTATAAGACTTTCAACAAATATATAGTCCATTGTAATATGGTAATATTAAATAAGAGGGTGCTACATTTTTTCAAGAGAAAGCAGTCATATTAAAAAGGTTATTTTAATGATGCTCTAAACAATTTCTTTGGCTGCATCACAGCATAGGTTCAGTTGATAATAAAAATTGCCTTTGAATGAAGTACTCTAAATTTTTACAAGACTCCAATTCTCCTGTGCAATTATGGAATTTGAAATGTAATTCTCCCTGGAACCATAAAAGAATTAGACCAGAGAAATGCTGTTAAGAATAAAGCAAGATAAAAGGGAATTGCTTCAAGATCCTTTTTATTCTTCTATTTCTTAGTGTCATGTTATGTTCCAAGTCACTGTGTTGTTATGGAAAAGGACAATGAGAAAATCCAATCTAGACACTTGAACATTTCTAGAATGTTGACTCAGGGATATTTTTTCTCTTGATAATTATGTATTAATTCAATATGGACATCTGTGTGTGAAGTACTCAAAGAATTTCCAGAGGAATCGATGATATGTCAATGTACAACTGTTTAGCATTGGTTTATTGTGGACTCAGCACTGTGTTAGGCACAATGGCTCAGGCAAATGGCCCCCGCTCTAGATCTGCATGGCATTTGTTTATCATTTGAACTGAGATGTGGTTATTACAACTTAACTTCTCTCTATTTCACATTCCATTAATCATCAAGTCCTATAGATTCTATCACTTTCATAATCGCCCATTTCACTACATCTCCAATACCACTATTAATAATGATCACAATAAGCGCCTAACTGCCCTCTTTGTCTTTGATCCTATCCACTTTAATTCACTCTGAACAACAGTTTGGAAATAAAATTGTGAGTATATCACCCCCTCCATTTTAAACTGTTTCAGAGTATTTTCATTTAACTCCTGCTAAAGTTCAAGCTCATCAGCATAACTAGGCAAGGTCCTCCGTGAGCTGACCCTTCTTAACTTCTAGCTGAGATTTTTTACTCCTTCTGCAAATATTTCATCCAAATTAAATATCATGTAGTTTCTTGGACAAGAAAGATTCTTCTCTCTTCTTCTCCCAAGTCCTTTTGTATTACCTCCTTCTAGAGCTTACTTCCCTTCACCTTTTACCTGGCTCACTTTACCAGTCTGTTGAGACTTAATTTAGAAATCACATCTTTCATTTTGTCTTTCCCCACCCTCTCCTCTCCTATGAATTAGGTCTTTCTTCTATGTAAACAATTAGCTTAGGTACTTATAACTGATGCTGTACTTATACGGTTCTGTTGTCTTCCATGAACATGTGTTAGATCTTTGAAGACAAATATTACGTTTTATTCATCTTGTGAAATTTGTCCTACACAGAATTTGGCACATGGTTATCCATTCAAATGTTTGTGGAATAAATATGAATAAACTCAAAGAGAACACATATTAATTTTGTCCTAATTTGCAAATTTCTCCATTTTATTTCCTTCACTGCAAACTATCCCCACTGAGAGAATTGGTATCTGAGTTCATAGTGTTGATTTCTAACATTTTAAAACAAAAAACTATGTTTCGATTATAAATCATATTTAAATAAGAATACTTGCTTCATCAACTATAAGAACATAAATTGTAAGACATATTTTCTCTACGGAGATGTTAAAATGTAGGGGAGAAATGTGTCTTTTATAATTAATGAAATAAAATTCCTTAAGGTCTTACCATATGCTTGGCTCCATGCTGTTTTATATTAATTAATTCTCTTAATCTTCACCACAGTCCTATGAGGAGGGTATTTTTATTATTCTCATTCTAAAAATTAATAAAATAAGTTCAAAGAAAGGTAATTTTCCCAAAGTTACCCAGATTATAAGTGGCAATTGTAGGATTTATCTCTATCTTACCCTACTGTCTGAAACATTCTTGATATTCCTTTATTGGGTTCAGTACTAAGAAGAAATCATAGAAAATAATATTATTGGTCCTTATTTTAGAATATGCTTTCCTTGGGTTCATCGTACACACACGTGCACACGTAAACACAAATATACACAGTAATTGTAAACAGTGTGGTACATCCCTTTAAATTTTGTTAAAATACCTCCTGAGAAAAATGGAGACAAGTAGGGGAAAGAATCTCAGAGCTTGAAGACTATCTTTCTGAAATAAGACAGGCAGAAAAGAATAGAGATAAAAGAATAAAAAAGAGCAAACGAAACCTCCAAGAAATATGGGATTATGTAAAGAGACAGAACCTACGACTGATTGGGGTACCTCAAAGAGATGGGGAGAATGGAATAAAGTTGGAAAACATATTTCAGGATATCATCCAGGAGAACTTCCCAAACCTAGCAAGACAGGCCAACATTTAAATTCAGGAAATTCAGAGAACTCCAGTAGGATACTCCATGAGAAGATCAACCCCAGGACACATAATCCTCAGATTCTCCAAAATCGAAATGAAAGAAAAAATGTTAAGGGCAGCCAGAGAGAAAGTCCAGATCACCTACAAAGGAAAAGCCATCAGACTAACAGTGGACTTCTCAGTGGAAACCCTATAAGCCAGAAGAGATTGGGGGCCAATATTCAACGTTCTTGAAGAAAATAATTTCCAGCCTAGAACTTCATATCTGGTGAAACTAAGCTTCATAAGTGAAAGAGAAATAAGATCCTTTACAGACAAGCAAATCCTGAGGGAATTTGTCACCCTCAGGACTGCCTTGTAAGAGCTCCTGAAAGAATCACTGAAAATTGAAAGAAAAAATTGTTACCAGCCACTAAAAAACCACACTGAAATACACAGACCAGTGACACTATGAAGCAACCACATACACAATTCTGCAAAATGACCAGCCAGCATCATGATGATAGGATCAAATTCACCCATAACAATACTAATCTTAAATGTAAATGGGCTTAATGCCCCAATTAAAAGACACAGAAAGGCAAGCTGGATAAATGGCCAAGACCCATCACTATGCTGTCTTCAAAAGACCCATCTCACGTGCAAAGACACACATAGACTTAAAATAAAGGGATGGAGGAAAATTTACCAAGCAAATAGAAATCAGAGAAGAAGGGGTTGCAATCCTAGTTTCTGACAAAACAGACTTTAAACCAAAAAGATCACAAAAGACAAAGAAGGGCATTACATAATTGTAAAGGGTTCAATTAAGCAAGAACAGCTAACTATACTAAAATATATATGCACCCAATACAGGAGCACCCAGATTCATAAAGCAAGTGCTTAGAGACCTAAAAAGAGACTTAGACTCCCACACAATAATAGTGGAAGACTTTAATACCTCACTGACAATATTAGACAGATCATTGAGACAGAAAACTAACAAAGATATTCAGGACCTGAACTCAGCTCTGGATCAAGCAGACCTGATATATACCTACAGAGCTCTCCACCCCCAAACAACAGAGTATACATTCTTTTCATCACCACATGGCACTTTAAAATTGATCACATAATCAGAAGTAAAACACTCCTCAGCAAATGCAAAAGAACTAAAATCATAACAAACAGTCTCTTAGACAGCAGCACAACCAAATTAGAACTCAAGATCAAGAAATTCACTCAAAGCCACACCATCAAATGGAAATTGAACAACCTGCTCCTGAATGACTCTTGGGTAAACAATGAAATTTAGGCAGACATCAACAAGATCTTTGAAACTAATGAGAACAAAGAAACAATGTACCAGAATCTCTGGGATGCAGCTAAAGCAGTGTTAAGAGGGAACTTAATAGCACTAAATGCCCACATCAAAAAGCTAGAAAGATCTCAAGTTAACAACCTAACATCTCGACTAAAAGAACTAGAGAAGCAAGAGCAAACAAACCCCACAGCTGGAAAAGACAAGAAATAACCAAGATCAAAGCAGAACTGAAGGAGATAGAAACACAAAAAACCCTTCAAAAAATAAACGAATCCAGGAGCTGGTTTTTGGAGACAATTAACAAAATAGATAGACCACTAGCTATACTAATAAAGAAGAAAAGAGAGAAGAATCAAATAAACACAATCAGAAATGATAAGAAATGATATCACCACTGACCCCACAGAAATACAGACAACCATCAGAGAATACTATAAACATCTCTACGCACATAAAATAGAAAATCTAGAATAGGTAGACAAATTCCTGGACACATATATCCTCCCAAAACTGAACCACAAAGAAACTGAATCCCTGAATAGATCAATAATAATGAGTTTGAAATTGAGACAGTAATAAATAGTCTACCAACCAAAAAAAGCCCAGGACTAGACAGATTCACAGGTGAATTCTACCAGAGGTACAAAGAAGAGCTGCCACCACTTCTACTGAAACTATTCCAAAAAATTGAAAATGATTCTCAAAAAATTGAATGACTTCTTCCTAACTCATTCTATGAGGTCAGCATCATCCGGATACAAAAACCTGGCAGAGACACAACCAAAAATGAAAACTTCAGGCCAATATACTTGATGAACGCTGATGCAAAAATCCTCAATAAAATACTGGCAAACCAAATCCAGCAGCACATCAAAAAGCTTTTCCACCATGATCAAGTTGGCTTCATCCCCAGGATACAAGGTTAGTTAAATGTACACAAATCAATAACTGTGATTCCTCACATCAACAGAACTATAGACAAAAACCACATGATTACCTCAACAGACACAGAAAAAGCCTTCAATAAAATTCAACATCCCTTTATGTTTAAAACTCTCAGTAAACTAGGTATTGAAGGAACATACATCAAAATAATAAAAGCCATATATAACAAACCCACAGCTAATATCACACTTAATGGGCAAAAGCTGAAAGCATTCTCCTGAAAAACCAGTACAAGGCAAGGATGCCCTTTCTCACCACTCTTATTCAACATGGTATTGGTTCTGGCCAGGGCAATTAGGCAAGAGAAAGGAATAAACAGTATTCAGATAGGAAGAGAGGAAGTCAGATTATCTTTATTTAAAGATGACATGATCCTATATTTAGAATACCTCCTCATCTCAGCCCAAAAGTTTCTTAAACTGATAAGCAACTTCAGCAAAGTCTCAGGATACAAAATCTATGTGCAAAAATTGCTAGCATTCCTATGCACTGACAACAGGCAAGCAGAGAGCCAAATCATGAATGAACTCCCATTCAAAACTGCTACAAAAAGAATACAGCTAACAAGGAAATGAAGGAACTCTTCAAGGAGAACTACAAACCACTGCTCAAGGAAATCAGACAGGACACAAATAAATGGAGAAACATTCCATGCTCGTAGATAGGAAGAATCAATACTGTGAAAATGGACATACTACCCAAAGTAATTTATAGATTTAATGCTTTTCCCATTAAACTACCATTTACATTCTTCACAGAATTAGAAAAAATATTTGTATATTCACATGGAACCAAAAAGATCCCAAATAGCCAAGACAATCCTAAGCAAAAGAACAAAGCTGGAGGCATCATGCTACCTGGCTTCAAACTATATTATTACAAGGCTACTGTAACCAAAACAGCATGGTACGGGTACAAGAACAGACACACAGAACAATGGAACAGAATGAAGAACTCAGAAATAAGACTGCACACCTACACCCATCTGATATTTGACAAAATTAATAAAAATAAGCAATGGGGAAAGGACTCCCCATTTAATCAATGGTGCTGGGAGTGCTGGCTAGCGATATGCAGAAAACTGAAACTAAACCAGTTCCTTACACAGAATACAAAAATTAACTCAAGACATACAAAAGACTTAAATGTAAAACTCAAAACTATAAAAACCCTAGAAGAAAGTCTAGGCAATACCATTCAGTATATAGGCATGGGCAAAGATTTTATAATGATATCAACAAAAGCAATTGCAACAAAAACAAAAATTGACAAATGGGATCTAATTAAACTAAAGAGCATCTTCACAGCAAAAGAAACTGTCATCAGAGTGAACAGACAACCTAAAGAATGGGAGAAAATTTTGCAATCTATCCATCTAACAAAGGACTAATATCCAGAGTCTACAAGGTACTTACACAAATTTACAAGAAATAAACAAACAACCCCATTAAAAAAAGTGGGCAAAGGACATGAACAGACACTTCTCAAAAGAAGACATACACGCGGCCAACCAACATATGAAAAAAAAAGCTCAGCATCACTGATCATTAGAGAAACGCAAATCAAAACCTCAATGAGGTACCATGCTAGTCAGAATGGTTATTATTAAAAAGCCAAAAAAACAACAAATGCTAGTGAGGTTGCAGACAAAAAGGAATGCTTTCACACTGTTGGTGGGAGTGTAAATTAGTTCAATCATTGTGGAAGACAGTGGAGCAATTCCTCAAAGACCTAGAGGCAGAAATACTATTTGACCCAGCAATCCTATTACTGAGTATGTACACAAAGGAATATAAATTATACTATATGAAGATGTATGTACACATATGTTCATTGCAGCACTATTCACAATATCAAAGACAGGGAATCAACCTAAATGCCCATCAATGATAGATTGAATAAGGAATATGTGGTACATATACACCATGGAAATGCTGTACAGCCACAAAAATGAATGAGATCATGTCCTTTGCAGGGACATGGATGGAGCTAGAAGCCATTATTCTCAGCAAACTAATGCAGGAACAGGAAACCAAACGCCACATGCTCTCACTTATAAGTGGGAGCTGAGTGACAGGAACACATGGAATGTTGGGGGGGAATAACACACTCTGGGGTCTGTCGCAGGGTGGTAAGGGGCATGGGAGAGGGAGAGCATTAGGAAGAAGAGCTAACAGGCTTAATACCTAGGTGATGGGATGATTTGTGCAGCAAGACACCATGGCACATGTTTACCTATGTAACAAACCTGCACATCCTGCACATGTACCGCTGAACTTAAAATAACAGTTGAAGAAAAAAAAACTAGAAATTAAAAAAAAACAAACCACGGAGGGGAAGCTGGACTGAGCAATAAATACATGAATGAGTATTAACCTGGAATGTTAATGACATCTCGGGATACATGCAGACACAGACAGACACAGACACACACACATACACACATACACACACTTCCCACATCCAATCACTGTTAACCATGTAAAAATATCAATGAAAAATATGTCCTCCTAACTTCTCCTTTGTTGACGATGGTAATGATTCATGTAGCATCCTTGATTAAACTCATCCCACACATGACTTCCTCTGGGAAATCTTACCTAACTCCTCTATTCTAGTCCATAACACTCTGTGCCCATCTCTATCATGGTTTGTCCTCACATGCGCACTTGTCAGTCACTTAGACTGTGGATTCCTCACATGCCAAGATTACAGCTTGCTTTCTTCCGCATTTCCAGAATGCAAGGGAGGTACTTTGTAGTTCTAACTTTCAGTTTTCCATGCTAATCCAGCCATTTAGCTTAGTATAGAAGGGAAAAGTGCTGTCTCCTAGGACCAAGCATCAGAACATCCTAAGAAGCTTTTCTAGCCAAACACAGGCTTGGTGGTTTTGTTGCATTTCTACATGAATGCACAGCCTCTTCCACCACCCCTCTTGGATTAATCACCACTGCCTGAGTCACTGTACAAGGCAGCAAAAGGGAGATGTACTCAGGTACATCTAGGTAGAAAAAATAGAAGAGAATTATTACTCTACTTTTACAGAATTGCATTATAGATTTTTTCAAATGTTTTTTATATTTTAGATTCAGGAGATACAAGTGCAGGTTTGTTATGAGTATATTGTATCTCTGTGACTTTCCACAGGCTAGCCCCACCCTCTTCTCCACGTGACTAATCATTTTTTAGTTTTTATATGCTAGATCAAAGTGAATTAATAAATATTCAACCTTGAACTGGGTGCTATAGAAAATAGAATTGTGTAACATGTTCTTCCCTTTGAATTTCTTTGATGTAGCATGACTCACACATAGGAACAAAGAGTGGCACAAGATATTGAGTGACAAAGTGCTAAATTTATCATCTATAAGTGGAGAAATGTTTTGTTTTAGATAGAATTAGAAGAAATGTTTTCATTACAGAAAAACTAATGTTCTACCTGGAAGAAGAATTCATGACAGATGAATAACAGACAAGAAAGGAAAGGGCATTCTGAAGAGACGGGACTCTGTGTGTCACCAGGTGAGGTTGTAGGAATGGCCTAGTACCTGAACTCGAGTCTATGCCGTGAAAACGACCAGAGTCTAGCACATGACAGCAGCCACAGAAATGGTGGAAGCCTTGCTCCAGGCTCTCATTATCTTTTCTTGGGATGTGACTTATCAGAAAGAGATTATAACTCCTTCAACTGAAATGCCCAGTTCTCAGGGATTCCCAGCTTCAGAACAGCTGTTCATCCTTTCTTAGTATCCAATCTAGGATTCTGTGGTTGAAAGCTTTAAAATAAGTCCTAGTGAAATGGGCAAAACATGAAGAGCCTTATTAAGGTTAGAATTTGCAAGGTCAGGGTTCAGATTTAAAGTTTACAACTGAATAATAATTCTGGTTGTTTGATTTTTAAACAAACCAGATCTACCCACATAAAAACATCCAAATTAGGTGGCCAATTTGACTTTTATGTAATTGAATTCCCAAGTAAATCCAACATGTTTCTAAGATACATCTGCTAACTTCTAAAGTAACTGTTAGCACCTTGTGACTACACTAGAGAAGCACAGAAAAATGTACAGTCCCCAGGGAGTCTTTCCTAAAGACCCCCTCAGGTGCAGCCAGAAAGAATAATGCTCAGAAGAAGTACCATAAAGGTCAGATGGGGAAAATAAGCAATGGTGACTCAACTGGAAAGGTTCAAGCCAACCAATGTCTGCTCCTTACTATTCTTGTCCATGCATATATTATTTTCTTCAACCAGTAACAGATATATGGGGATTCCACTGTAACCCTATCCTACGTGGGAATTTTTATAGCTGTTTTCTTGTTTTTCTCAACATTGTTGTATAATGCATGTCTGAGATGTGGTTAAACATATAGATTTTGTTCATATATTGCAAGGTAATGAGCAACATATGAGCAAATAATTAAAAGGAATGCACATCCCAGAGATACTATAAACTTGGTTCTGGTTGCAATAGTTGGATATGACTTTAAGTTTTCTACTACTTGGAAGAGGATGAATGCATGTGTGATACTTGAATTATGTTAAATAGAACGACTCTTGTAATTTTTTGTATGGGAAGAATGTATTGTACATTGGACAAAGAAGCTCTTGACTACAATTATTGCGTTTTTTCCTGGCTCAGGTCTTCTACCACACAGATAGACATGTGATCCAAAATGAGATAATTAATGCTCCTTATCCTATCTGTCATAGGGATGAGTCTAATGTTAGCCACATAACTTAAGCTCGGCCATTCAGAGTCATTGCCCCTAGTTTTTCTGATGGGGCTAACTAGGTATATGGTATCTCTTGGAGCCATGGAGATGAAGAATTAAAAGCAACTTAGAAGCAGAGATAAAAACCCTAGGATTCCTAGGGTTATGATGTCCTCAGTTTTAGCTCTTTACATCTATAGATATATTCTGGTTTTGCCATTCTTTTCTTTAATTTTGTGAAGTATCATAGAGTTTTGTTAATAAATTGTTTGTTTTGGTTTGCTGGAACTTAGTTGTGGCTGCTTGAAGAAGTCAAACCAATAGATAACTTTACATATGTACCTCAATCCACTAACCTTTTAAAGTAGCTACTATTATTATTATTATCTGAAAAACAGATACAAAAATTGATACTAAACAAGGTTAGGTAATTTTTCAGTCACTTAGCTCAGAAGTTTTAGAACTGGGATTGGAAATTCAGTCTGAGGCTATAATCAGAGTGCATTCTCTTTTCCTTGCATCACCTTGCCTTCTGAAGATGATTAGCAGTTAGTGAGGTAGAGAAAGCAAGCAGCCTGCATGTGTTCCAGGTCAGAAGAGCATGCTCATGTCCTATACTGGAAACTGGAAGTAGCACTCAGGGAAGAAAATACAGTGTACTGGTAGAGCCAGCTGTAATAATTGCTTATGAGAACAATATTAAAGAACAAAATCAAGGGATAAATAGGCTATATTTATGCCTTAGAAAAGCAAGTCTGGCAGCTGCTGTGGGAATAATGCATTAGAAGAATCCAACAGTGTAAGCAAGAAGACCGGATAGGAAACTTCTGTGATCACACGGACAAGGAATAATGGGGTCTTAATAAGGTGGCAAGTGATGGAGAGGACAGAGCCAAAGTCAATAAACTAATTACCAGGAGCACAATCACTGGGTAGAAAATGTATTAGGAAAAGAAACAAATCAGGAAAGACTTCCATATTTTAATTAGAGCATGTGTATAGCTAATAGTGACATTTGCTAAACATGGAAATATAAGCAGAATTGCGAGTTTAGGGTGAAGAAAAGATGAGTTCAATTTTGCACATTTGATTATAGGATATCAAATGGGAAACACTAGCAAGCACATAGCTAATTCTGGAGTTCCGGAAAATTGTCTCAGGCTTCAGAGAGAGAAATGGACGCCGTTAGTTCCCTTTTGGGGTAAACATAGGTCTTAGGTCTATGTTTTTCTATAACCAAAAGTTAATTATTTAATTATTGACAAAAACTGAGACAGGAATTTAGAGTAGCAGGGATCAGGCAGTGATTCCTAAGAGTCAGTGGCAAAATAACTATCCCAGCATGGGGTACAGCTTAACACATTCAAATCTTGTTGTTTGTTGTTGTTTTTCTCATGAGTTACGGGAGTGAGGAAATTAACACACAAGTTGGAAGGAGTGAGTTGGTGAGCAGGGTGAGAAAGGAACCTGGTATAATATTTCACAGCTAGGAAGAGAAAGAGGAATCAATGAAAAATTCTCAGAAAGGGCAACCAGACATTTAGAAGAAAGAAAATGAGGATATCTGGAAAGAGGGGATAATGGTCTTCATCAGACGATGCAGAAAGTTCATGTACAAACAAAAATAAAATATGTCCTTTTGACTCAGTTTGTAGGAAATTGTTGTTAACCTCCATACAGACAAATTAGGAATGTTCAGTAAATGCTTAAAAATTCAATCACAATCAGCCGCAGCCACTTCAGTGGATCTCCATGGTCTCCCCTAGGTAGCATCTCCTCAATTCTACAAACACAACACTAAGTATCCTGAAAACAGAATTCAGACCTACGCACATGAATCGAAGGTGCTGTACAGTATCTCACAATGGAAGAGAAGGTAGGTCTTCTTTGCCTTCACCCACTAAAAATGACAGTAATTTTCCATCCACCGACCTCTTTCCTTCGTGAAATGTGTAACTGCTTGTCTGAAGCATACCAGACTCATCCGGCAAAATGTGGCAAATGGGAGAGCAGAGCACAGGGCTCAGCTTTTCAGTGCCTGGGTAAGACCAAAGCCTGGCTGGTTGTTTGATGTGTCCTAGTGCAGTCAAGTTTCTTACCCAACCAGGGACCTTTAACAAAGTGCTGAAGAAAGCAGCCATTCTACTAGCACACTAGCATTGTAAAACCAGCCCAAAGGGAGGGAAAGAAAACACTTTCATATGCTAACCTCATCCTGTTTTTTCCCCTTTTGTCTCTCCCTTTTAAAATTTCTCTCTGTACTGCAGAATTCATTTCTTTTAGACCTCTGAACACCAGGTGAACATGTCACACTGAGCACCACAGTGAAGTAGTGGTAGAGTGAAACCAACTCCTTTAACTTCCACTTATCATAGAGTGGCCGGGAGGTAAAAGAGCAAGTTCCTGAGAGATCTCTGTATGGAACTCACAGGAAGGTCTACTTGTATTTCAGTTCCCACAGGGCCTGGCTCAGGGTTACCTGAAAAATAAAACCCACTACAGCCAGCCATCACTGGAATTAACACAAAGAATCTTCCCTATCTGGAATGCTGTGCATGACTTACTGGGTATGGAGACATGGATTGTCCCTGAGCAGGGTGGTCAGAAAGTGCCTGAGGCAGTGAGAATCTTTGAGTGTATTATCACTGGTCACAGTAGATTTGTCCCTTTACCCCATAATACAATACAAAAACTATCAGCAGTTTATATTCTGTCATGTGGAAATGGCCATGTCTTACTTAAACAGCGAGTTTGGACAATTTAATAAGGGGCTTTGGAAAGTGAGATGGTTTGCAAGATACAGGGGGTTAAATCTTGAAAGATGGGATATCACCATTTGAATGGGCTGATGTCCCTGAGCTTTCTGCAGCTAGGATGGCAGGGGAAAGAAAATCCAAGACGGGAGGGGAGAAGGGCTGAGCTGCACTGTCCTCAAGTAGTAGAAGGGAGTTAGTCAATCAGATACGAAGAAAACCTTCTCTCATATTCACTGTCATGATTGCATTCTTTGTTGTGATATAGGAAGAATCACACAGAGAAAGCAAGCAAGCAAGAAAGAAAGAAAAAAAGAAAAAGAGAGAGAGAGGGAGGGAGGGAGGGAGAGAGAGAGGGAGGAAGGAAGGAAGGAAGGGAGAGGGAAGGGAGAGGGAAGGAAAGGGAAGGGAAGGGAAGGAAAGGAGGTTGGAAGGAAGGGAGGAAGGCTGGAAGGAAGGGAGGAAGGCACACTGGGTGGTGAAGAGTTTATCCTTGGAATAAAGTGGGCCTGGGTGAGAATTCCATTTCCGTCACTTACTTTTTGACAAGACCACTTCTGTTTTATTCATCCTTATATTCCTCATGTTTAGCACAGCATCTGGTACATAATGGAAACTAAATAAATATTTGTTCAATAAATGAAAGAAAAAAACTAAATGGGAGAAAGTAAGATAGAAAGAATTTACCATACATTGAGTCAGTTGATTAACATTTCATAATCTACGTTTCCTCATCTGCAAAATGAAAGCAAATATTGTACCTCGATAAGGTATGGCCAAGACGATTCAAGGAAACAGAATAAATACAATTGTTCTTATCATCACCAGTGTCTGGTCCATAAGACACATTCAATAAATGTTTGCTCCTATAGTGATTAGCAAAGCATTAGAAATACAGGGTCTTTCAGTTTACCAAATGGAAAACTTGATTAAAGTACTGGAACATGACCTGAAGAGTGCACATGATTTCACCACAAGGTTAAACAGCGGTAGGGTGTACTATTTACATACTCTCAGCACGTCAGCACTCCATGAATTTCTGCAAGTAATTGGAGATATTAAATCTATATCTATATGTGATTCTATATCTAGATAGATAGATAGATAGATAGATAGATAGATAGATAGATAGACAGACAGATAGATAGATAGATAGATATAAAATCTTACCTGGGAGGATAGTATCATAAGAAAGAATAAAATCCTTGGCTCTTTTGAACCAACTTAACTATTTTTCCAGGCTTTCACTTTGAAAGTGGGGAAAAATTTCTAACTTCAGGGACATATTCAATATTATTCAAAAGCCTAATAATAATAATAATAATAATAATAATTACCCATCGATTGCAATTTAGAATTAATCACTGGGTCAACATCTCTAGCTATGGGTCTATGGAAAGCATAAGAAAATGTTTTACAGTTCATTAGTTGTCAGTGACTAATATACACTGGAAGCATTATTACATTTAAAAGAAAAAATGGAAAAGATGAAGGTAAACTAGAATATCATGCAATCACAGAATCTCAGGGTTGAATGAGCCTCTAAAGCCATGTTTTCAAATGCCAGCTGGAACTTGAATCCTTGGAAGATGTATGTCAGTCTGAGGTATTTAAGAATGGATTTGGCTAATTTCAAATTCATAATGATCTCCAGTTCCATCCATGCTACACAGAAAAACAGTTCTGAAGGAGTCTTCCCCTTCAGAGAGAGGATGGGGAGAGAGAGCAAGTGGTGAGAGAGACAGAGACAGAGACAGCACCAATCTGTGAGTCATGTTGCCGGGTCTAGGAAATGTTGTGAATTGTACAATCTTACAGCAGGGCTTAGGACTTGTGCCTTAATTTTCAGCACTTCCATTGAAGGGATGGGACTGAACAATTGACAACGCTTTAACTCATCTCTTCTGAGCTTTTTCTACTAGGTGAGACCCAGGCCAGCCATTTGCTAAGTTTCCCAGACTGTCCATCACTGGAAATTACACAATCTTTCCTAAGCATTGTAGCACCATTTATTTCTTCTTATCATTACAGCAAAATGCCACAGTGATCTCACAACATGGATTATGATAGAAACATAAAATATAGCAAATTAATTATTTATCATAACAATGTTGGATGACAAAGAAATAAAAATAGGCTGTCCTCATCCAAAAGCAATTTAAAAACTCTAACGTAGAGTCAGGCAAAGGCTCCCCTGACCTACTACCGGCTTTGTAAAATGTATTCTTTCAAAGCATTTTCTTCTTTTTTTCAATGCACAGATATTCCCTGCTGTTGGATAATAAAGTCAGCCCACATAGAGCCTCCCTTTGTTACAGGAGGCATTTCATTTAAAGGGCCTTTTGGCAATCAGGAATACAGTTGTAATGAGAATCTCTGAACTGGGAAGCTAACACAAAGTCAATTCTTTTTTTTCCTCATGTAAACTTATGGCTCTATCTGGTCCCTATGAAATAGATGATAAATGCTATTTTAAGAGTAGAAAATATCAAGAATCAGAGAAGGAGGAAACTTTATCATGTTCACAAGATAAAGCAAAGGGAATTGAAAACTGGCTTGAGAGTTGCGGATTTCCTTTCCAGACTCTTGGTAGTAGAAGAATCTAAGTGAATCAGGAGAATCACTGGTAAAGCAAAACGTATCCATAAATTAGACTGTAATGGACTATGCACTGTATGGCATGATGGTGTTTAAAAACAAATTATGTCAGAGCAATTCAAAGTAAGCAACATGATAGGCTAATATGATTGAACATTGAAAAAGACTTCAGAAAAAGCAAGATTTAGGTTGGAATTTGCAAAAGGGGTAGAACTGGAATAGTTGGAGCAGAATTGGGTAGGATATTTTTGGAGAAGATCAGCTTAATTAAAAACTAATTATTATGACCTAAATACAGAACAAAATGGTATATCATTTATAATATGGACAATATGAAAAGAGAATCTTAAATGAGAAAACATGGAATAGGTACATGTTACATGGAGGACTCTATCAGGTAATAGTCAAAATCATCTCTTTTCTAAATAAGTGCCTTTGATTATGGGACCACGTATTAGTCACATGGTTTTTCTAGGTCCTGACACCATGCTTGTTTCATCATTTTAGTTCAGTTGTAATCTGGTTGATTGGCTGATTCCCTGAATACATGTCTGAATAGCCTATGAAAACAACCTTGAAAAGAGTGAACTTATTTTCAAAAGTCAATTTACTACATTTTCTTCAGGACTATATTCATTAGGCCATTTGTACTTTACACTTATGAAGAATTATTTCACTATATTCGTAGGTCTCCTAAACATCAGGTTGTACTAACCTTTTAACACGTTTTTATTCAATTGAAAACATTGTACAGAGTGAAGAGATGCACAATTAGCTTTTAAAGAAGAAAGGCAAAATACTGAATTCTTAAAAAGTAGGAATCTAGGGAATAAATTACACTTCTAAGACAGAAGGAACAATGTGAAACCAGAGTGGTGAGAGAACCTATTATTGCCATCTACTCTCAAAGCTCTTAAAAAAATACAGGACCCAGTCTTATAAGATCAGATAATGTTGTTTTGATAATAAACACATTCAGAAAGTGAGAAAATGGCTCTGTAGTTTAGAGTGATTACAAAATCATAAACATCATGAAATAACGTTGCATGAGTTTCCCATAAGGGACATCACTAGCAGGAACATGAAAAGTTTTTATTAATACCTGCGTATTAGCACTCTCTCTTATTTTAAATTTAGATGCTCTCCATCATATCTTTAGCCTAGACACTGACGTTACAGTATTTAGAAACTTTACTGAAATAGATAAGCCTCAAGAGACGATTCTATAAAAGTACAGATGTGCCAACAGAAGTGTTCGAGATAAGATTCTGCAAATTGATTTCCATCAATTACATCCTATTTTAAATATCCTAGGGGAAAATACCTGCGGAGAATCCTGTCATGACTTGCAGAATGGTTTCCTATATCCTGCACTTTGTCAACACATTTGAATACGGTGAGCTTATTTAGCTAGAGGTTTTCTATGCTGAAGCTCCAGTCCTTGCTCCATAAGGGTACTGTAGTAGAAGTTTGCCATCTCAATTCTTAAAAATTTTAAGACTGTATAATATTAGTTTGAAGCATTCTTGTAATCAGTGAGAAAGCCCTAAGGTGACATTTAATAAATCCTTCTCAAAAATGTATTCCAGCAGAAATATCTTCAATAAGTAATTTATGATAGATTATCTAAATTTCTCTTGTAGTTCTAATTATCAAAGGGATTATGAAAATTACCTAAGGACACACAACTTGCATGTGGGGCAGCTGTATGAGATTTCAGACCCTTATTCTTCCACATCAGGTTTTTCCTAGTACACAATAAAGATTTTTTTTCTACTTTCTTAGAAAGCTAACTGGGCAAAAAATACAGGCAACTCACCTCCTGGATTGCATCTCTAGCCTAAGAGTCCTCTAATATTTAGTTCTAAATAAATATTCTAATATAAACAAGAGGGGCCTAATGCATACCAGTTTGTGCCATTACAATAACAGCAGGGTCTTTTATAAAACAATTATTCTAGTATTACACTAGGTAGAAATGATTTTACACACACTAAATTATCATTCTTTCTGGAAGTACTCTCTGCATTAGAAGCCAAGAGGCTTTTTTGTATTACAACAGAGCTCAGCACCACCTCTCTGTATTTCACTCTCTACCCCACAAAAATAAAATTTTGAAATCTTGTTTGAGGTGTTCACTAGTAAAATCCTCTCAAACAACTGCCATGCATTAGAGTTTCATGAACCACTGGGGTGTAATCAGAACTTGTCTGAAAATTACATTCCAGCTCCGTGGACAATATTGGAATGGCGACTGCTCCTAGGAAAGTCTGTGCGCTAAAGCAGAACGAGGGTCTCAAATTGTTTGGATACAAATGGATTCTAGTCAGAAACAACCTGCTGAGAAAAGAAGACTTCCTTCAAAGAGACGCATCCGTGTGTCTGATCCAAATGAAAATGTAAGGAATTCCTCTTAAAATGACTAATTTTATGGAGTTAATTTTCTTAGAGAATATACAATCATGATGATAAATTTGAGAGTATAAGTAGAGAAGAAAAGTTAATTGCCATTTTAATATTGTCTAGCTCAAATTAGAGAAAGTTTGTTAGTAATATTCAATCAATTAATTTTCTGCCTGGGCGTTTAATAATCATTAATTCCACCAATGTTTACTGAGCTTATTCAGTGCTAAACCCTGTATTATAGCTGGAATTTAAAAGATTAAAAAAAAATAATGGTTGCCCTCAAGAGCTTACATGTAATAGAGAACTTTTGTAAATAAATAATCACAGTATAGGAACAGAAATAAAATAAAGGCAGAGAGAGGGAGAATAAAAAGAGACAAGACCAGCACATGTGCCGGAGTCCAGACTTTGGTAAACTCATCTTTAGTTGGTAAGGCAAGGGAAGGCAGGATTAGTAAAGTGGCAAACTTTTCCATAGAACAATAAAACTTCCCCATAGAACTTTTCCCACAGAACAAAAACTCCTATGGAAATATAGGGTTAGAGTGAAAGCAATATTTAGGGAAAATCAAACAATAGCAATGAAAAAGAAACAACCACTCAGATATTTGAAAAACTCACCTAATCCAGAAATAGCTCAAGACAAACACAGACTTAATGACATACTCATGGTTTTATCATCAATTAGAAGTTAGACATCAGTGAAATATGTCTGTTTTTATCTTCAGAGCTACTACTTGGAATAGAAAAAGATATTTCCTCTCATTGTAATTAAGCCATTTGTTTAATTTCTACTCTCAGGCATAAGTGATAAGAAAGTAAAATGATTACTGACTGCAGCAAAAACCTAATCAATATAACCTAATTCATTTATCATGTTATAGTATATTACAAATGTTAAAATGCAAGAATAATGAAAACACTCCATATCTTTCACTTTGTGGAATATTTATTTTATAAATCACATGTAAAACATATTGGTGGTTGGGTGTGCCTTTTGAGAAATGTTAGTTTATCTTCCTCATATAAATAACTACTCTCATGAATCTCAATCAGGCTAGAGTTATTGCAGTGATCATCAGATTAAACATGTTTTCTTTTGTTCTAAAATAAAAACATCTATTTTAGCACAATATATTACAAATTCATCTAATGCATTCAAAATTGTTATCTGCAGCGTGTAGAGAAACAAACACTATATTCCTTTAACTATATTGATTCGCTGAAAAGGCAAACATTGCCTCCATCATTTAGCAGCTGTTAACTGCAGGCAAGTCTTTCTTTAATCCCTGCTTGTCAGTTTCTTCATCTGTAACGTGTGGAAGATAATAATTCAGTGGACCGTTGTGAGGACTGAGTAGGGTGATCTATGTGTGAAGTGGCTAGCACAACACTCAGCATAGAAAAGCAGATCAATAAATGTTAGTTATTTTTCCTTTACAGGAGCTGCTATGAGATGTATTTCAGCCCCCCAGTAATGAGACATTTATTTCCTCTACTTTTTCATTCAGAAATGGAGATGATGGCTATGTCATTTTCCCTATAGGAAATCCAAATTCTTTAAGTATAAAATAATAACTTGAGTATGGGTGGAGGTGCTAAATGTACAATCACAACTGTGGATTTTTCTTGTGTGCGTATTCCACAATGTTAATAGTTAAGAGCCTTGCCTAGACAGCCGTCTTCAATTTGCACTACATGGCCTGTGATGAAGCTGAAACAATCTTTCATCATTATCGGAAATAAACAAAAGAAAGTGAAAACACTGGGCTGAAGGAGGCGGTAGGAAGCTGATGAGCCGGGGAGGATAACATTGCTTAGTAGCTAAGATTATTGACTCTGGGGCCACACCAGTATGAGCATAAACTTTAGTTCTGTCAATTCAAATGATGCGGACTTGGGCAAATTACTGCTTCTCCTTGAGTATAAGTTAAGTGAGTATGACAAAATAACATCACGTGTTTGATGTTTAAAGTGCTCTGTCCATAAAAGGCCCTTAATAAATAGTAGTTAAATATATTTTTCAATTGAATTCAATTATGGGGAAGTTATAAGGGCTCAATTTCCAGAGAAGAATCTATCCTACACGATCTAGTCTTGCGGGAAAGAATACATATTAATACATACACATATATACATATATGTATATTTATATAGTGTAGGCTGCAGACTTTCTACTCAAATTGTGGTCCAAGATTTAGGAACATTATCAAAATATAGGTGCTTGTTAGAAATGCTGTTTCTTAAGCCTTGTTCCAGTCATATGAATCGGAATCTGACATACAGCGATCTCCCCAGATAATATGAATGCACAACCAAGTTTTAGAAGCACTGGTCTAGACATTACTTTAATGGCAATTGTTCCATAAGTATGGTTGTGACACTGTATTTTGGAAAAAAACATAAAGTATCACACACCGATGTGCCAATGTTTGATTAGCTGAATTAAAATCCTTATACTACCAATAATGCTCACCACAAAACAGATACAATTGATATGCTAGTTTTCGTTTTTAATATACAGAAGTAGCCACTGTCCTATGGAGAGTTGAAAATAGGCATTTATGATATTCATTGGGAAATGAAAAGTAAAAACTGAAATGAAATAATTGAGAATTGCTAGTCCATAGAATAAGATTAATCCACCATTTTTTTCTACTACTTTTTATCTGCATGTATCAGCATTGTCTCAAATTGTTCCCCAGAATAACTTATATTACAGTCATATAGGGATTAATTATAAGTGCAGAATCTCAGGCACTAAATCTTCAGATACAGTTAATAAGCATTCTTAGAGATGGGCTGGGCATGGTGGCTCATGCCAGTAATCCCAGCACTTTGGGAAGCTGAGGTGGGCGGATCACCTGAGGTCAGGAGTTTGAGACCAGCCTGACCAACATGGTGAAACCCTGTCTCTACTAAAAATACAAAAATTAGCCAGGCATGGTGGTGCACACTTGTAATCCCAGCTACTCTGGAGGCTGAGGTAGGAGAATCACTTGAACCTGGAGGTGGAGGTTGCAGTGAGCTGAGATCACACCACTGAACTCCAGCCTGGGTGACAGGGCAAGACCCCATCAAAAAAAAAAAAATTATTAAAGATGGGAGATGCAGAAAATGGTAAATACATATTTATACTTTCCTTTTAAAAAGAACATTAAAAAATACTGGTATCTGGGACTCTCTTTCAGAAGTTCTGATTTATCTGAGTAAGGCTTGGGCATGGACATTTTTTAAAAGCTTCCAAGGCAATTCTAATATGAAGCCAATACTGGGAACCATTGTTCTTTGCAGAGCTAAGCTTCATGGTTAGTGTGAAATTATCTTCATTATGTGGTTCATTTGTTATCGTGAAATGTAAACACTTACATGTGTTTGGAAGACAGGACTGAGCAGAAGGAGCAGAGCACATAGATGGCCTTTTTACCCACGTGTTTATTAGCCACAATCTTGAGGTTGTAACATTAGTTAGAACTCAAAATACAAAATATTTGCTAATTGACTGACAATTTATCAAATCAATCCTCACTCAAACATTTCTCTCTTTTTACAAAAGACATCTATTTCTTTCCATTCTGTCATTTTTTTAAAAAATCAGATCTTTAAGACACAAGTGCAAGTGGGTCGAATTATGAAACTACTTTTCTGCAAATTATCCAGGATTTCATAAAAGTGATGCTGAAGAACCACATACAAAGCCACTCATGAATGTCTTCCTGGCAGAGTTAGACCAGTTAACAAGAGGAAGAGATCAGGAAACTGATGAGGAGGTTCATAAAATGACAGTTCAAAGAAGAAAAATTTGAATTTCAAAACATTAAGACAGGCCGTTGGGAAAACTGCTGGCATACTGCAAGATTTCTGCCAAAAAGACTCTTTTTATGAACACAATGCAGGTCACCCATGAAGTGAAGGGTTACACTAACTTTGAACTTTGTCAGAAAAATATACTAAAAAAGTGAGATATGTTTTTAGTAAGCTTCTGATAATCATATATAGTCTTAACTGTAATCTAAACTTTCTAAATTTCAAGTTAAACTATTTTGGTAATTTTTAGTTCCTCCGTTTTTAGATGAAATCCCAGTGGGCACATTTACACAGCATGTGGTCTGATGCAGTACTTCACTGGGATCAACGACCCTCTGAAGATTTCCTGTATTTTTCTCTTCTTCATAGCACATATCGTACAACAGATCTCAATAGCGCATCTAGTCCATCTTTCCAGTGCAAAGCCACTTAAAAATTTATTACCTGCCAGGATGGGGTCATCATTGCTACCATCCTCCGTGACTCACGTTTTTAGGAAAATGACAAAGTTTAAAAGCTACATTGCACAGACATATCTTATAATATTCAGTTGTTTATTTAAAAAGAGGTTTAATTTAGTAACAGCCTTGAAATAATGTCTTTTTCCTTCGTTTTGAGAATTCAATTTCTGGTAAAATAAAATAATCCAAAATATATCATTGTGGCATTGCTAATTATGGTAAAATCAAGAAATCAATGAAAATAAACAATATTAGGAATGGTTAGATGAAGTAAACAAAATCATTTAATGGAATATTATGAGCCCCTAAAAATAATGTGATAGTTTTTAAATATTAGAGAATACTTACGTTATAATGATAAGTGAAACAAATAGGATATATATGTATATATTATTTACTTAGGATAATTTTAATTACATTACAAAAACATGTATTATAACAAAAACCTGGAAGAATGTATATAAATATTTTAACAATGAGGATAGGATCATGTAAAGTCTTTTTTCTTCCATTTAAAGTTTCCTTCAATGTTTTCCAAATTTTCCAATATATCTCATAACTAACTTTAATTATTAGAAACATAAAATGAAAAGATTTTTAAGTTTAAATTCAAACTAAGGCAAGACACCTTTTGTTTTCAGTCTTATAGAGTATAAATAATTCATGAAAATCCCTTGTTTCCTGAGACATTACAGTGGAAAGTAACAGATTCAAGAAATTCAGGTTCGAGTATCCATAAGTTGCAGTATTAATACACAATAAACTCACTAATGAATTTAGTTTTAGTGCAGATTTAAAAAAAATCTAATGTTGTTATAAGTAAATTAGTGTATTTCATAGAATAAGAAAATGTTATATATATGAAAAGTAGTGTTTTTCATAACACTTAGAAAAAGGTAATGAATTCCAGCACTTTGGGAGGCCGAGACAGGCAGATTACCTGAGGTCAGGAGTTTGAGACCAGCCTGGCCAACATGGTGAAACCCGATCTCTACTAAAAATACAAAAATTAGCCAGATGAGGTGGTGTGCATCTGTAGACCCATCTTCTTGGGAGGCTGAGGCAGGAAAACTGCTTGAACCTGGGAGGCAGAGGTTGCAGTGAGCCAAGATTGAACCACTGCTACTGCACTCTAGCCTAGGTGACAGAGCAAGACTCCATCTCAAACTAACAAACAAACAAAAAATAAAAAAAGAAAAGAAAAAAGAAAAAGGTAATAAAAATAGCCACTAAATCTTTCCTGTTGGATGAGATCTGAGTAGGAAATACATGGCTTCGGGGTTCTTTCTAACACAACCATTTACTATGACTAATCAAATGTGATGTTTATTAATCAGCATGTGAACTGGAAACTATTCGCTCGTCTTAGGCACTGGGTGGAACTATGGAGGGAGCAAGGATTTAAGCCAACAACACACTGAAGCTTGTGCAAGTTAGTCTGGAGGTGGTGAGGATGTGTTGACAGACACAGGAACTTACAATTTGTAATATGTCAAGCAAATTAAGTAGCACACAGAGAAAGAGAATGTTTAACATCTATCTTCTTACCCTTTGCATCCACTAGATACAATACTCAAATCACAGTCCTAAGCCAGAAGCAGATGGCTAAGAATTCACTGAACAGCAGGTTAATACAACAGAAAGATGTTATTAGAGCTGAGACGGCCTTAGAACATGGGGGAGACACCATGCCATGCTCCTTGACATCACTGTTAGCAATATCCCAGAACCAGAATTAAATGTAATCAAGAAAGAAAATCTGCATATGGAAGAAGGGTCTCAGTGCTCTCGTGAGAGTGTGAACTGGTAGATCTGTCACAGGGCACTAAACAACAAGCACTGATAAATTACTTGTGGAAAGCTGCTATAAATTGCACAAAGTAACAAATGCAGTTTCAAGAATCAGACAATCTCCTACGAATCCCCATGATAATTTTTATGTTAGAGGAAAAAAATGTACAGAAGGTATAACAAGAAAGGTCAACTGGGAAAGATATGGATTCCCAGCAGCTTACAAATTGAGTCTTCCAGAAAGCAATCAGCATCACATCCTTCTCATTTCTTGCCTGATATTTCATCTGTTATCTCCTGGAGCTGAGAAGGAACTTGTGATTTCAAATTTTACAGATGGAACATACTCAGAAAGTATTGACACAAATAGGTAAGCACTGAGTATCAGTGCAAACTATTCACTCATGCAGAGTACTGCCACCTAATTTATTGCCCAAACACTTCTTTGTAGGAGAATGGGAAGGAAATGGGGGGAGAAAGAGAAAGACAGAAAAAGGGATAACTTGCAGAAAGAAAATATGACATTATTTCCATTAACCCTGTTTTCTTCCAAGTGCTCTTTTTTGTCTACTTCTTTTGAAAAGTTAAAAGAGAAGAAATCTTAGACTGTATTAAACTGAAATCACAGACACTCTACATCCATGTAATTGATCTAGGGTAGGGCCCTGGCTTTAGTAATTTCTTGCATTTCTAGCTTTTAAAATTCTGATATGCAGCCCATGTTGGGAATCAATTATATAAATTAAGAAAGAAATATATGCAATTCTTTCTTACAAAATCATAATAGCACCATGAGGAAAACTTAGAATATAGGACTGAAGAAAAAAATTACAAGTATATCCCACTTACAATATGCAAATATTCTAAACAAAGTCTTAGCAAATCAATTCTAGTACCTTATTAAAACAACAGTAGAATGTGAGAAAATATGATTATTTTCCCTCCAAAAAAGTGAAAAAAGAAAGAAAAGTATTTGGAAAGTTTTAGTAGATGCTTAATATATTTTTTTTAAATAACAGAAACAAGAAACTAGAAACCAATGGATTCTGTACGAATAAACGCACACAACACAACTGATAAAATACCTGTAACACAACCCAGCAGCCCTTACATATTATGTTTACTGGCAAAATCCTGAAAGCCCTGCCATCTAAGTCAGGTATAAGATACAGAGATAGTAATTCCCCCTTTATCCAAGGGGGATGTGTTCCAAGACCCCCAGTGGATGCTTGGCACCATGATATTACCAAATCCTATTATGTTAGTCAGTTTTGTGTTTCTATAAAGGAATACGTGAGGCTGGGTAATTTATAAAGAAAAGAGGTTTATTTGGCTCATGGTTCTGCAGGTTGTACATGAAGCATAGTGCCAGCATCTGCTTCTGGTGAGGCAGAAACAAGCAGACTCAAACACCTCTCACTGGCCTCACCTCCAACATCGGAGATCACATTTCAACATGAGGTTAGGAGGAGACGAATATCCAAACTATATCTCCTAGGTATTATAGAGTCACATGACACTTAACAACAGTGTTACATTGTGAGGAATGCATCTTTAGGCAATTTAGACATCGTGCAAACTTCATAGAACGTACTTACACAAATCTAGATGGTATAGCCTCCTAAGTCTTTAGTCTTTTCAACTTTCTCATCTTTTAGATGACTACTTAAAACATTCTTCCCAACTGAAAGTTATTTTAATCCTTCTTAAACCCATAATATCAATAACTAGATATCAATAACTATAGTTTAGCCAGAAAAAGACTTGTCAACCAAATTTGCTTCAGACTTTTATTCTTGTAATTTCCAGTGAACAAGAATTCTTTAAGGGTCTTTCATCTTGTGTCTTCTCCTTAATGTGACCTTACTAGCTCTATAATATGTTAAAACAGAATTAAATGGTAGTAACTACCTATGATATGTGTGATAATTATTATAATCACACCATCATCATTCTCTATATTGATGTGTTTTCCTACAGCACAACAATTATTTACTTCTAAGATGATGGATGGCTTACAACAACAGACAAGCATTATTATGATAGGTAATAGAGTAAACATAATTTTCCCTTGAAATATAAATACAACTTGTTCTTTATGATCTGTATGTTGGCATATGTAGATTTTATGATTAGATAAAAATAATTTTTCTTATTATTATTATACTTTAAGTTTTAGGGTGCATGTGCACAATGTGCAGGTTAGTTACATATGTATACATGTGTCATGCTGGTGTGCTGCACCCATTAACTCGTCATTTAGCATTAGGTATATCTCCTAATGCTATCCCTCCCCACTCCCCCCACCCCACAACAGTCCCCAGAGTGTGATGTTCCCCTTCCTGTGTCCATGTGTTCTCATTGTTCAATTTCCATCTATGAGTGAGAACATGCGGTGTTTGGTTTTTTGTCCTTGCGATAGTTTACTGAGAATGATGATTTCCAATTTCATCCATGTCCCTACAAAGGACATGAACTCATCCTTTTTTATGGCTGCATAGTATTCCGTGGTGTATATGTACCACATTTTCTTAATCCAGTCTATCATTGTCTATCACTGTGGGACATTTGGGTTGGTTCCAAGTCTTTGCTATTGTGAATAGTGCCACAATAAACATACGTGTGCATGTGTCTTTATAGCAGCATGATTTATAGTCCTTTGGGTATATACCCAGTAATGGGATGGCTGGGTCAAATGGTATTTCTGGTTCTAGATCCCTGAGGAATCTCCACACCGACTTCCACAATGGTTGAACTAGTTTACAGTCCCACCAACAGTGTAAAAGTGTTCCTATTTCTCCACATCCTCTCCAGCACCTGTTGTTTCCTGACTTTTTAATGATTGCCATTCTAACTGGTGTGAGATGGTATCTCATTGTGGTTTTGATTTGCATTTCTCTGATGGCCAGTGATGATGAGCATTTTTTCATGTGTCTTTTGGCTGCATAAAAATAATTTTAAATTTTGCAGACATTAAATGGGGTCCCTGACTAGGAAAAGCCTAATGTTGATGAAAGGAGGTGACTTAAATTTATATTTTTTCTCCCTGAAATGAGTCATGTTATTTGTAATAATAAAAAAAATGGCCATTTTTATGAGAGAAAGCTGATATCACTTACCAAAACTGCTGGCAATTTAAGGTAGCCCAAATGACAAATTACTAAATAATATTAGTATGTCTTTTAGGTAATAGAACTGATTTGTTCTCTTGTGTAAGTAGTAAGCAGCAAAAAGAAAGTATTTTATAAAATTATTTACATGAAAATTGCTATTCCTTATTAGGGTGCCATCAATTCAATACTGTCAACCTGATGATCTGTAGTGAGAAAGAAAGAGACAAAATTTCTACAGAAAGACGTAACTCCTTCATTGACATAAGGGAGTCTTCCCCATCCACAGTACCAAAGGCCCCATTAAGTGCAACAGCTTAATTCCCAGGTTTTTATTATAGAAACATACATGTACACTGACTACTGTAGGCTGAACAATCACACATACACCTACATATATTATTAGCTTTTCAAAATTACACAAATGCTTTTTGCATATGCATTTATTAAAAGCATTGCTGAAATTAGGGTAGCCTTTGATACTGTTGTTATCTCAAGCTAGGGATACTAGGAATCCAAGTATTACACTAAAATGTATAGGCTTTTTGATATTAAACATGAATCAGAATTTTAAAATAGCAATCACTAGAGATGAGTGGGGAACAGTTGTAACAACAAGAAAGTAGATGCAACCTTGATGTTTATTAAACAAACGTGTTTTGAGCTAATCACTATGCTTTAAGTAATACTAAGTGGATGATCAGACTCAAGCAATGTTAAGAAATGGCCCTCGTCCTGGATGGAGTCTTGCAGAAGACAGGGAAATAGACAAGAGAACATGATATTTACATGAGAACACGACATTTACGAGAGAACATAACTGATTCATTACATGTATGTAAAAAATGATGAAAATACAGGAGAGAGAGAAAATAATAAAGGGCATAACTTCTGAAGCTTGAAATGCAATAAAAAGTCTCCTATCAGAGAATAGAGGAGGGAACATTCCACAGAGAAAGAAAGGGTCAGCAAAGACAACTTTCTTATTTTCACACATATAAGGAAAGCCATGTTCCATAGCAAAATACATTAGTTCTGCCCATATCAACAGTTGGTGGTGAAAATTATAAACAAGTATCAGGTTTTACCTTAGGCTACTTTTCATTTTTGCTGAGTGTGGGTTTAATTTTGAGGTTTTTCATTCATAGTGTGTGATGTTAATTTTATGTGCCAACTTTACTGGGCTAAGGCTGCTCAGATAGCTGGTAAGATAATATTTCTGGTTGTGTCTATCAGAGGGTTTTGGAAAGAAGTTAGCATTTGAATCAGTAGACTGAGAAGGCAAAAATCCTTCCTCCCAAATGTAGGCAGGCATTATCCAATCTTTAAAGGCCTGAAGAGAATAAAAAGGTGGAGGAAGATCTCTCTTTCTTTCTGCGCTAGGACATTCATCTTCTTCTTCTCTTGGATAACACAGCTCCTGGTTCTCACATTTTTAAACTTTGGCATTTATACCAGTTCCATCCTCCACTGCCAGCCTCCCCAGTTATACACAAGTTCCCAGAGCTTCAGGCTCAGGCTGAATCACACCACCAGCTTTCCTGTTTCTTCAGCTTGTAGATGGCAGATTATGAAACTTCTTGGCCTCAGCGATCACATGAGCCCATTCCCATAACAAATCTCTTCATATGTTAATTCTGTTTCTCTGGAGAACTCAGGACCAATACTTTATAAGCTAGATTGTTAAATTTCCACTGGGCCACCTCTTAGCAAAAAAAAAAATGTTTTCTTTCTCTTAAGCCTCAAGAGGTCACTGACCTAAAGATACAAAGGACATTCAATCAGTCTATACTTATTGAATATTTGTAAAACTCAAAACTTCATTTGATAAGAATTTTTTTCCAAGTCCAAGCATGTAGAACATTCTCTGTTACAGTTATCAGAATGTTTCAGATTTGTACTTACCTAACTTCTACAAGCCACTCCTGATTAAACTTAGATTGCATTCTTATTAGCACTCACACAATTTAGTTCTTTGTAAAAACGTAAGTTTCTGTTTGTACTCTTCTTTTCTGAAGTCTTATCCCCTCTGTAGCAGCATTTACTCAATATCCCTTGAGCTCTATTTGAGCAATATTAGTACACCCGAGGGGGATTTGCCAAGCATGAATATTCCACAAAGGATCTCAAGGATTCTGTAGTTCACTGACTCCATTTTCTTTGAAGGCAAATTTCAACAGAAACACTGAGTTTTGTTCTTCCTTTGTAGAGCTAAGCAATAATATTAAGCCCTGTATATTAAGAAGGTCAGTTATATTCATATAAACTCAAAGCATACCTAATTCATTTGCATTTCTTTCTTCCCTTGGTTAAGGCATGTTAGAAGAAGGAGCTTATCCTTCAGGTTACATCAACTAGAAAGATACCAACAAAGTAATATTTTTCTTACCTTAGAGAGCTAATAATTCACGAATAACTTTTAATTAAAAAAAAGGCAATGACTATAGTTTAAGGCATGATATAATGAAATGAAAATTAGCTTTTATTCACCTTTGTATCCCAGCAAATAACACAATGTCTGGTACATAATATTTGTTTAATCGATGAACATTAATTAAAAGCATGAAGCATGGGTAGTCCAATTGAGGCCATTGAACCAAATCCAGCCAGGCCTTATTTTGGAGCCCATGAACACAGCCACACTCACACATTTGCATAGTGTCTATGGCTACTCTCACGCTACAAAGGCAAAGTATGTGGCCTCTTTGCCAGTAAAGAAATTACCAATTACTTAAACAAATTACTATCTGTCCCTTTACAGAAAATGTTCCCTAACTCCTAGACAAGAGAATGCTTGAAAATAGAAAAAAGTAAAAAGTAACTAGTCATGTTTTAATGAGCATGTTATTATATAGTTACGATTAAGACATATAAAACATTTAGTATTATACTATGTATTTACCATCATATGCCTTTTTCTACGATGAGACCAGGTCATCATTCCTAGTCTAACAGCTATAACAGTATTATTTTGAGTAAATATGTTGTCTGTCTGCCCCTTCTGGGTCCAAGTTTCTATATTTAAGACCTAAGAAAACTCCTCTAGATAACCTCTAAGGTGCCTCAACCTCTTGCCCTATCTGGTTCTATGTCTCTCTGTCTCAGTCTTGCATATACATGGGACTTTAGAGGTTGCCTATATGATCACTTATTTAATTCTAACATGGCTGAGGGCAGCTGAGAGATCAAATTCTAAATTTTCCTCCTTCAGATGAAAATGGCGTTTGCTAAATACCCATGATATGGCTCCTACTAATAGGTCTAGGTCTTCATGTTTTCATATGAAAAAGAAATGAGTGGCTGTTCAGCTATGTGAAAAGGAGATAATACTACATTTTCATCCCTTTGGTATTCTTTTTTATAGAAGCCATATTATATCAGTGTTAGAAATAAAATAGAATGGAAAATAAATGTGTTTAAATTTTCCTACTTTGAAAGTTTTTAACCTGTGCATTGAGATGTTTATATAAGTAGAACACACATTTTATATCCACATATTCATTCATCTACTCATTAAAACAGTGTTAAATGACTACTATGTACCTAGCACTGAGCTATGCATTAGGAATAGGGAGTAAGATAACATCTTACATTTTGATGAAGTGTTCAGTGATGGGTAAAACTCTAAGTTCTGAAGATATAAAGTAAGTACCAATAACTAGTATATATAAGATAAAACTCAGAAAAAAATGATGGTACTTGGTGTGTCTCCATCCATCCCTTTCGAGGTTCTGACCCGATGGGCTGTATATTAAGATTTCTAATTACATTCAAGCTTAGAGACATACAGAGTCTATCATAGCCAGAACTGCAAGTATAGGCAAGTCTGCTTTTTCCAGGCTACTGGAGCAAAACTAACCATCCCAGACCTTGTTTTCCTGCAATGTAAATATATACTATGTACTGAATGAAGCACAGTAATTTCTATGAGTGAAGGTGGTTGGGTCACACCATTCCTCCAGTTCATTGATCTGTTTTTCTTCCCATGGACAACACATTTTTCTCTTGGGGGTCATCTGGAATTGTAGGGCTTATATTTCTATAAAATTTCAGTTTACAATAACAATATTAGTATATCTATTATTCAGACAATCCAAACTAATTCCCCTAAATGAGAAGTATGAAAGATTTTCTGTGAAATCTGTTTACATTTAGGTCTGACATTCCAATGACAGCTTCCTTTCCCTCCTTTGACGAATGTGAAGAAGCCATGGGTCCCTTCCACCTTTGCTCAAAATCAAGGAACCTGCAATGGACACAGCAGCTTCATGTCGTGTTTTCTCTTGTAGCAGTCATAGGCGGCATTACAAGAAAAAAAATGATAAGAGAAAAAAGGGTGCATGCAAAGAACAAGCTGATTTCCCTTCTGGCAGAGATAATGTGTAGGTGAGAAGGATGTGCAGGGATGTAGAAAAAGCTGCATAGGCCAGGCTGTTAGGCAGGTAGCTCAAGAATGGTGGACTGATTGTACTATCTCACTTCTTTAACTTGGGTGCGGTGTTCTCTGGTTACTGGGGTCCAGTCACAGGGCTAGGTCCAGGAAAGCAACTTACTGTGGCAACATTCAAATATACTTTTCAGCATACATTTTTTTCCTTGACCACTATGTTGTAATATAAGGTACTGATGAATTTATAGGAGACCTATGCGATTTCAGGGGACTCCAGAGTCCCCTCAGCAACCCCCATACCATCTTTTGTATGCTCTGTGCCATCTTTTGTATGCTCTGTGCCATCTTTTGGATGCTCTCTGCCATCTTTTGGATGCTCTATGCCATCTTTTGGATGCTCTGTGCCATCTTTTGGATGCTCTCTGCCATCTTTTGGATGCTCTCTGCCATCTTTTGGATGCTCTATGCCATCTTTTGGATGCTCTATCCCATCTTTTGGATGCTCTCTGCCATCTTTTGGATGCTCTCTGCCACCTTTTGGATGCTCTCTGCCATCTTTTGGATGCTCTATGCCATCTTTTGGATGCTCTATGCCATCTTTTGGATGCTCTATGCCATCTGTGTTCCTCTCCATCCCCGATTGTGCCTGTGGCTACTCGTGGCAAAAAAAGAAAGATGAATTTCTTTCTTTCTTTTTTTTTTTTTTTTTTTTTTGAGACGGAGTCTCGCTGTCACCCAGGTTGGAGTGTAGTGCCACAATCTCGGCTCACTGCAACCTCCGCCTCCCTGGTTTAAGTGATTCTCCTGCCTCAGCCTCCTGAGTAGCTGGGATAACAGGTGCGCACCACCACACCCGGCTAAGTTTTGTATTTTTAGTAGAGACGGGGTTTCACCATGTTGGTCAGGCTGGTCTCAAACTCCTGACTTCAGGTGATCCATCCGCCTCGGCCTCCCAAAGTGTTGGGATGACAGGCATGAGCCACCACGCCTGGCCAGACATGACGACTTTCTACTGAACTATACTCTTGAGTCTCTCCAAGGGTTATGACTCTTCTGCTTGCTTTACATTTATCCACATGCTTCTTGTTAATTTTCTCTTCAGTGAGAAGAAGGGAAAGGAGTTCAGAATTTAACTGTAATGTTTTGCCTGAGTTCCAGAGAGCAGCTCTGAAAGAGCTAGCTTTGAGTGCAAAAATATGAATAATTGAAATTCAGTTTCTCATGCTCTGGATTGGCCAACCACAATGAGAATCTCAATCTGGGTATCTCAAGTTTAAAATATTCAAACTGTGAGGATTCAACTGTAGCATTTTATACAATTGCTCCCTGTGATGTCTGCAGATGATGCACACTTACGCTCCTTCCCCAGATTGTCTCTCTAGTTACCCATCTTTAAGCTCTCATTAATAATAATATCTATGATTTATCGAGTGCTTATTATGTTAAGGGTGATGTTCTACATACTTTATATGTATTAACTCAGTCCTCAGAGGAAGATCCTCTTGCCATTCCAATTCTACTTTTTATGGCATGCAGTATACAGAGAGACTAAGTAAATCGCTCATGGTCACACAGCTAGCAAGTGGCAGATCTGGGAGTTGCATCCAAGTAGGGTGGCTCTAGAGAGCCCAAGTCAGTCAGTTTCTCTCTCTCTCTCTCTCTCTCTCTCTCTATATATATATATATATATATATATATATCTGTACATGTATATATAGACATATATGTATATACATATGTACATACACGTATATGATGTATACAAAAGAAGAATAATGACAGGGACTTGTCCTAAATAACATTGAAATGTATAATAAAACAACCAAAATTACAGCGGGTCCTGTTGGGGCAGGGCTAGAATAAATCACTGGAAAATAATTTTCAAAAGTCTAAATATATCCAAGACACATTGACAACTAAAATATGAGAAAGCAAGTATTTCAAATAGACAAGGGGAAGATGGATTATTCAATAACTGCCAGTCATCGGATAATCAATAAACCAGAGCTCACTCATTTCATACATATATGTGTATGTATATATGTATATGTATACATATATGTGTGTGTATATATATATAGATATATATATATATACACACACAAGGCTCTTAATATACACATCTGTTTACTGGAGATAGTGATTACGCAGGAAACACGATATAGCCCACCTATTTCCTTCCCTATTTCTTGGCTCCTGTACCAGCTTCCTATACCAGCTTCCTTTGTGCTGTACCAGCTTCCTTCCTGTACCATATATATGGATATGTACATGTATACACATATATGTGTCTTTATTTGAAAAACAGTACCTTACAAACCTAACACCATTCATCAAACTTCAATAAGAACAATTTCCGCATAAACTAATGAACAGTAGCTAAACTGACAAGAACTCAATCAAAAGTGCCTTAAGGCGAGTAGCACCAGCTGATGTTCTGCCGAGTCTCTGGGCATTCAGGACCCGGCTACGAGGGAAACAGCATCAAAGCAGCAGGTGCTCTGGACCTAAGCCCTCAAATCGTGGCCTGCCTCGCTCCTGGTGGCCCAAGGTCCCCCCCTGGCACTTCAGGGCCCCTGTGGGCTGCAAGCAGAACCCCAGGAGCCAAAGCGCCATGCGGGAAAGGCTGGACCTTGGCCTCACAGCTTGGTTTCTGCGCGTTGTGGTCACGTTCTTTCTGGAGCTCCTGGGGTGCTCTCTCCGTGGACGCGGTGGCCATCCAGCCTCCCTGGACCGTGTTCTCAGGGAAGAACGGCGCCCTCTGAGAACCGGAAGTGTCTTTCTTCATTTCCGGGGCTGGGTCTCTGGACGTTGTCTTGTAGTGGTCGCGGGTCTGACACACGCATTCAAGTTGTCTGCGTCCCGCGAAGTCTCACGCCGAGGTCCAAGCAGCAGGCGTCCCGCTCCGCGGACTCCCTCCGAGGCCCATCGCCTGTGCTCAGGGCGGCGCGGGCAGAGTGGAAGCTTCTCTGCAGCTCCGGAGCTCCCCGCGCAGCGGTGCCCGCGCCCCCGCAGGGAGGCCCGCGTGCCGAGGAGATTTTGGACTTTCGCTCTGAGTTCTTTACTCCTTCGGGTTTCTTCCCACGGTTGCGTGTCTGCTTTTCCAGTCTCCCCCCTCAGGACACTGTGCGACCTCCGCCTCTCGCTCCCCCTCGGAGCCTCCATCACGCACCGTTCGCTCTTCCCCCGGACCTGATTTTTGGCTTTGCTGGGTCCCCACTGAGCGGCAGAGGCCTTTCCAGCCCTGCTAGGAACAGAGCAGAGGGAGGGGCAGCCGGCCGACCTGAGGCCTCGGGGCGCGGCCTGGAGAGCCCGGGTTGTTTTTTTTTTTTTGGAGACGGAGTTTCCCTCTTGTTGCTCAGGCTGGAGTGCAACGGCGCGATCCCGGAGAGCCCAAGTTCATAAAGATTAAGTTCCTTTGTCAACCCCTGGGCTCATTGTGTATCAGAAATCTTCATTCCTGTGTTATTATTTTATTAAGGAGAAGACGTTTTCATGATGTTGCTGAATGAAGAAAACCTTGGCTAAGCAAAAACCCCATCACTGTGCACATTCTCATAAAGTACCAAGAACACATTACTGAGTGTCCAAATGCCATGGAGTCTACAGTGCGTTATAAATGCCCTGTTTCTTACTCATACTTTTGTTGTATCAGCTAAAGATTGGGGCAGCAGAATAGAACATACAAACAGCAACAAAAAAGACAGAGATCCCTGAGTTACTTAGCTAATGAATGTGGATGAAATAAGATGTGCAAAGATGTCTAAGATGGAGAAATGCTCTGTGTGGACTTGTATTGCCTGAATCCTTACAGGGACACGGCCTTCCTTTTGCTTTATCATATAAATTATGTGATAATTCTGCCATCCCACTACGATTACATTACAAAATTTAGGTTCTTTCCCACTGATGCTCTCGTGACATTAACACATGTGCCCCAATCTGTGGAGTAATTGTCATGTATATTACATGCATGTAGTATGACATCTACAAAACCAAATTTGCTAAGAGAAACTTATGCTCCATTTACCTTGATTCCTTACTAGAGAATTTTCAAATGTCAAGTCAAGCATGGCTGGACATCAAAGATTGTAAACCTTTGGGGGACTCACTTTAACATGGAAGAGTGGAAGCCATTCATATTATTTTAGCATTCCAGAACACTCAACTGACTGAAAGATTTTTTTTTAATTGTTGTTCTTTGAAAGGAAAGATGAATGAGCATATATCATTTGGGGCAGAATTCTCCAGAAACTATAATCTACAACCACTGCATTTATCTGAAATTCTGTCTTTTATTTTAAAGGTCGTGGCTGTATAATTCTGATTTTAGCAAGCAGAAATATTTTTCAAAAATGCAGCCTAATTTTATTGTTCACCTTTAAATATTCATTTCACATTTGATGGGCTAAAAATTTGAAATTCAAATTACTTCCTTTTCCTTTATTCTTAGCAAAATCATCTAAAAGTAAGAGTTGCAGTTCATTTATAATAAAATACAAATAAAATAAACTTCATAATTCAACAAGAACTAATTAAAATTATTTGAGAGCCAGTACTTACTGCCAAGTAAACTGTAAATTCTAGTTCTATTATTTGGATTCTTTATAACTTATTTTAGGAAAATTATTCATCTATTAAGTCATTGAATCACAGAGCTAAAAGGGACATTAAAGTTCACCTCCTAAAAACTCTCCTATTACCAATGACGTCTGGAGAGTTTCCTCAGCAGTGCAAGGTCACTTTCTAATGAGTTTCAAAGTCAGGAATCAAGTAAGTTCTATTGTTTCTAAGCCCTTTGCACTTCCTATAAAACACTTGAACAAGCCATACTAAGTACTGAGTGAGTCTTTCTAGTATTATATGTCCAAGATCTAATCAGGGCACCTGGTCTTAAGCCCACAAACTAGGGTTGTGGAGGACACTACACCTCTTGTGTGATTGCTGATTTTTGGTAAGACACAGGGTTCCCACAAATCTCTCTCTGCAGAAGCTCTGAGCAGGTGTCAAGGATAGAACATAATATTTTTAGAAAAAAAAGTGTAATTTTTTTTCCAGCTAATATATGCATCCTGTAAATATTAAGCATATTTGTTACAAAGGCTCTTAATGTACACATCTGTTTATTGGAGATAATGATCAGGCAGGAAACACGATATAGCCCACCTATTTCCTTCCCTGTTTCTTGGCTCCTGTACCAGCTTCCTATACCAGCTTCTTCTGTGCTCTACCAGCTTCCTTCCTGTACCATCTTTCTTTGTGCTGTAACAAAGTAGCACAGACAAGGTGGCTTAAAACCACATACATTTATTCTCTCACAGCTCTGGAGCCTAGAAGTCTGAAATGAAGGTGTTGATGGCCATGCTCTTTCTGAAGACTGTGAGAGAGAATCTGTTCCATGCCTCTTTGCTGGCTTCAGGTGGTTGCTGGCAACACTTGATATTACGTGGCTGGTAGCTGCATCAGTTTCTCCCTCTGTCTTTATACAGCTCTCTTCCCTCTGTGTGTATGTACATCTAAGTGTCTCCAAATTTCCCCCTCCTTATAACAAAACTAGACATTGGATTTAGGGCCCATTTTAATTAAGTATAACTTCATTTTTTAACATTGCAAAATCCATTTCCAAAAAGATTACATTCAGAGGTACCAGAGGTTAGGGCTTCAACATGTATTTCTAGAGGACACAATTCAACACACTGCAGGTCCCAGATAAACTATTTTTAATAAAGGGCACATTTCTGCAGGAAGCAATGAATGCACTCTTGGGTGATTGTTTTCTGAAAAAATCAAATATTTGGCAAACTCTGAGGAAAAAAAAAATAGAAGTAGGCCTAATACTAAACCCCATTACTTGGCTTTGTGTGGGGATTTTTTTAAAGTCAGAAATAATGCTCTGTCTCCAATGCATGAGGCAATGTGCAGCCAATGCAAAGATTAAGCAATAGTCCCCAGTGAGGTGGTCCTTTTATCACCCCTTCTTACAATTCATTTTTGAATCTTTAAAAAAAAAAATTGCTTGCTATGGAATTTTAAATTATCCACGGCCTCTTCTCATATCTGTTTATATGACAAGACTCTGAAACCCTCCTGCCACATACAATTTATTGTTAGCCACAGTCTGTATTAGTACGTTTTCATGCTGCAATAGGGAAATACCTGAGACTGGGTAATTTATGAAGGAAAGAAGTTTAATTGGTTCACAGTTACACCTGGCTTATTGCTGGGGAGACCTCAGGAAACTTACAGTCATGGCAGAAGGGGAAGAAGGCATGTCTTACATGGCAGCAGAAGCGTGAGAGAGAAGAGAGAGTGTGTAGGAGGAAATGTCAAACGTTAAAAAACCATCAGATGTCATGAGAACTTACTCACCATCACGAGAACGGCATGGGAGAAACCCCATGATCTAATCACCTCCCACCAGGTTTCACCCTCGACATGTGGGGGTTACAGGGATTACAATTCAGGATGAGATTTGGGTGGGGATACAGAGCCAAACCATAGCACAGTCTAAATGTCTGACATCAATCAGTGTATGCTCACATTCCAGAAGATATAATAATTACATTCAATCACAGGTATCCACTAAGGGTATACATAGCAAAAAATTGGGATACACCTGTAGAGAGATGCTCAATTTATCTGTTATACCGGGTATAAACGTCTGCATATATTTTCACTTTAATGAGCGCTTTGCAGTCTTATATGTGTGATCCAACAGTCTAAGCACAGTAAAAACAAACAAAACTGAAGATACTGAAAATTTAAACACCTATTTCAGTTCCAACCCAACCCTAGTGGATCCTGCTTTTAACTAAGAGCATTTTTGTAGCCTTTATGGTATTCCTTTGCTCCTACTCAGAACTCCATTTCAATAAACTGAAGATCAAAATATCTATAATAAAAACTTAACATCTGAAACACACTTACTTTTGAAACTTATTTGCCACTATTCTTTCTCATTAATCTCCTATCTTTTAGCCAAGACAGCTTATCATTGTCCTCTCAACAGGTCCCAATTTGTCAGCCTGCTGGACTCTGCTCATACCTTCATATACTCTCTCCACCATGTCAAATTGTCAAATATCCTTTATCTCCATACTTCCAAATCTTATCTGTGCTTCAAAGTCAACTCAAATGGTAGTCTCTTAATGAAATTTGTGAACGCCTTGTTACCCCCTTACACACATATACTCCTATGCACATGTGCACACACATACACATTTTAAGCTTATATCTAATCTGTCTCACAAATGTGTATATATTTTCAACTCAAATATATGAATGCATATATCATATTCTCTCACACACACAAATACGTATTTAAATCACACAACACTTTAAAAATGCCCCATTTAGATTATTTAGCATTTTCTGGTGGTAGATTATTTATACACATGCGTAGGTTGGACTGTAAATTATTTAAGGAAAGAAGTTGAACCTGATTCACCTTTATAAGCTTTATAGCAGTTAGGATGATATCTTGCACATAACAGAAGTTTAAAGAGTATTTACAGGCAAATAAATGCATGAATTATTAAGCCAAAAGTAGTTATACATGAATATATTTTTTGTGCTTAAATTTCATTAAACATCAAGAAGCTTAACCAATTTTTTCACGTATGCTACTACATCTGCTCATGGTGTTGCTCAATGTGTCAGCCTCACATATCACCCACAGAGAAGTTTTTCAAATTTAGAAACTGTTATTTAGTAAAAACAAATATGTTTAGTGATGATTACATCTTGCCTTCTCACGATGGGTTATGCTCAAACTATGTATAAAGAACTAAATTATTACTACTTTATGACTTTAAATTATAGAGAAAAGAAAACCATTGACAGTAATTAGTATATGGAGCTGACAAGCTGAATTTATTTAAACAAGAATGAAAAATTGAAATAATACCAACTAATGACTAATATGTTAATATTTGAAATTCTCAAGCTAAATTATGACTAGTTAGGAAAGGGTACACTGAAAATCATTTTGAAACATAATGGGGAAGATTCCTATTTCTGGTTATTCAAGCTTGAGTTTCAAGTTGACAAAAATCCATTTCTTTTTAACTGTCTGATGATGACTACAGGAGAAAAAGAAAGAACGTGAAAATAGAAGGAGAATAGGTTATATTACACATTTTCTTAGAAACTTTTTATGGTAATATATCTTTTGGATCTTAAAAGATATAGGCCTGGTTGTATAAAGAATTAGCAGGAAGTCGAAATTACCCATTAATCTTCCAGATTCGGAGCACAGCAGAGACACCTAGTACTGACTTTTATGGGCTCTTCAAATCCCTGACAGGCCCAGATTTATGATCTTCCCATATGCAAAGTCCTGTTTCCCAAGCCTTACCACAAAGATCTGAGATCAAAACGGTGCTTATAAAGTTGATCTTATTTTTTATTTTTATTTTTAGTTTTCCTTTTCTCTTAACTTGGTTTGACCACTTAGGCTGAAAGACTCCTTGTATTGAAGTTATTAATACCTTTTGAAAATATTATTGTCCATTGAAAGTAGCAATAGAATTAAGCTCTCCTGAGAGGCTCATGTGCCTTCCTTCTCTATTGTAATTCTCTACTTTCTAATTTGTTCATTCTTCACTATTCTTCTACAACAGTCACTTGGCACCATCACCACACATGTGCACAAACATACTATACCAGTATAAACGGAAGTTTTGTCCTATTTGCTACATATCCTCACCACTAAACACAACACTGTGCATAAAATTGCTCAATAAATATTGCACAAGTAAGGAAAATTATAATTTGAGGCAAGGTGATTTACTGCTTCATTTCTTTCTTTCTTTGAAGGCTATGTGAACAATAAATTGCAGATACTGTTATAAAATAGTTTACTTCTATAATATCAGTGATAAGCAATTTATGTGAATTTTATTTCCCCCTTCCGTCCTCTCCTTTATCTTCTTCCTTTTTTATCTTCTGCAAATCACTCCTTTTCCTCCTCTACAAATATATGCCCTTCTTTGTTTCCATTCATTCCACTGATCTTGTTCCAAAAAAAATTTCAACAAGCTCGTTGACTGTCTAAATTCTAATAACTGATACATCCCAAAGTTCAAGGAGATAATAGGAATTCCTAAGACCCCAAACCGAATCTTAGCTCTATCTGATAATTTGGCCAAAGTTTTTGCAATTATAAATTTTTGACTAGCTCAATGGACTCAAACACCAAGAATAATTGCTAAAAATTACTCATTTTCAGAGGAATTTCAAAGACACAAATATGCAAATAACATTGAATCTCAACATAACTAATTATTCCTTAGATAGAACTATGCCCCCTGTAGTCAATTCACCTTAGGAAAGCCCACATAAACTTACAACACCTAATTCGATAGTTAGGACTGCTAAATTTGATTGGAAGTCATGTGTTTCTGACCACCAAATCTTAACAACCTTCTCTCTTTGACAGAATTAGGTCCCACTCTCGGCAGAATCAAAAATAATGGAATTGCTCATTTAAAACAATGAGATTCCTTTGTAATGAATCCTTACCTATAGCTTGTGTCTGTGAAATATCTTTTTTTAATGGAAAAAATAATTAGATTATATGGAGGTCCTTACATTCGGATATAAAAGGTAACCACACAACCATATTTAATTATGTAAGCTGAATGCTTTAAGAACAATTTTACCAAAAAGCAGGTTGACTAAGAAAAGAAGTTACATTTGAGAATAAAATGGACCTGGGGTTGAAAAATACATAGAAAATAAACAAAAGAACACCTGTCACTATTTACTTCCACAGCCAGCATAACTCTTTTTCCTAAAGAATTTATCCTGCCAGTAAAAAGAGCACTAGTCAAGGAAGGATTAATCTCATTTCTCAACCCATAGGATACTTGCATTCTTTAAACTTCTAAATGCGCTTTTCTTGCCTTAACTGCCTCTTTCATGCTCTGAAAGTGGAACACGAGGTTTTGCTGAAGCCAAACAGAAATTTAGCAGAAATTTCTTTAAACGCCACACGTTTTTTCAAGGGTTAGTGTAGTATCACGGTAGGTAACTAACTTTCTTATTATTTCCAACCATACTGGTTGCCTGAGCCTCTCAACATCTTGTTTGTTTGAACCCTCCAGTTTCAAAAGTCAATAATGGCAAGTAATAGCACTTTTTAAAGAATACCAATCATAATAGCAACCAACATTTAAGTGCTTATGATGCTTCAGGCATTATGCTGTGTCGTTGTTATCCATTGTCTTATTCAGTCTTACTAAAATCTTAGGAGGTAGTTATAATTGTTCCCATTTTGTGTATGAAGCACCGAAGTTACAGGAATATTAACTAACTTATCTAAGTCTAATGCTAAGTCAAAGAATACAATATGGCAGAGAGTGGGGAAATTGGAAAAAATGGAACCCAAATTAACATTAATTTTAGAACTCCACACCCATTTTTGAGAAACAGAACTCACACCAGTATCCCCTCCTTTTAACTTATGATGTTTTAACTCAGGTACTTGTTCAAGGACTTATCCAATTCCCCTAGTCCAGTTGTGCCTTCCATGTTTAACTACATCCAGCTTTGCTGGGACTGGCCAGGTAGATGACAGAGTAGACCTCAAACAGCCCTCAACTGGAAGGAACACCCATAGCCCAGTTCCTGACAATGCAGCAATAAAGGCCCAATGCTGCCAGATCTTACAAAATTTTCAAAAGAAAAAAAAAGTCATAATCTTATGTGAAAATACTGATTTTAAAATATTAGTTGATTTTTTTAAAGTATATCTGAAGGTCACAACTAGCCCAGAGTTCTCCAAGTTTCATCCTCTGTTTTAAATTCTGCTAGAACACTTGGGGATTGCTGAATTTCTGTACTATCCTATCTATAGTTTGGACTCCTGGCTTTCAAAGGAAAGTTTCCTCCAGGTTTTCCCCACCCTATAAAATTTCACTCTGCTTTTTTCTTCTTTCTTCCACTTTAAGTTATTTTAAATTGTTTGCAACAGCCAGTAGGTTTTCCTTCTTTCTAATACTTAGCATAAAGTATTTCCAAGACAACGATGGGGGTCAAAAGTCATGTAATGGGAAGTCACTTCACCTCAGATTGCTCACCTGTCATCTGGTTAGACTGCTTACCTGCCTTGGAACCTAAGTAGAAGCAGAAACAGAGAATACCATTTCGAGTGCAGTTTACTCGTATGTACAGAAGTGCTAGGTCTTTGAATAGCAGTAGGACAGTAGGGGTAAAACTGGCCAAACCTGATCATTTTTATGTTTTACTAATTTTCTAATAATATTTGAGAGAAAAAAGCTATTCCATAGTAAGATTGAACACTAATCAGAAGAGGTTCTGTGTTAACACTGATAACATCAACAAGACTTTTGGAAATAACCCTGGAGGCCTATGGATTACCCCCAAGAGATTGAACACCTTTCTAGATGCCTATCTAGAAAAGCGAGAAGAAAAAGTGATAGCATTCACTACACAGAGGGGCTAGTACACAGGGATTCCCGAAGAGAATCTTCTTTTGCATGTCCAGTATTTTATTTAATCCACAGAGTTTTAGTTTTAGTTTAAAGACTTTGGCTGCAACCCTATACACAAATAGATAGCTCTCCGCCAGCCCAGCCACTGAGAATTCCTCTAGCGTCAGGGCCCACCAAGCTGTATTTGATTCAAGGTTAGGGTAGGAGCAAAGAAAGGCTCTATCTTATTGAAGGACACTGAGAACTTTTCTGCAGAAGTCCCCTTTGGAGGGCATGACAAATGCATGGATCAAATGTTAAACAAAATGACTTTTAGGAGGGCCTGGGAACTTGTTTTCTTTTTCTGTGCCCCACCTCCCGACCCCAAGCTGATGCATAGTATATTCATTTTCTTGGGTTTGCTATAACAAATTACTACAAACTGGGTGACTTTTAGAAAAATGGAAATTTATTCTGTCACAATCCTGGAGGATAGAAGTCCAAAATCGGTTTCCACAGGCTCCACAAAGTTTCCTTCTCCAGAGGCTCCAGGGAAATTCCGTCCCTTGCCTCTTCCAGGTCTGGAGGCTTCTAGGGCTACAGGTGCATCACTCTCATCTCTGCCTCCAGCATCATGTGGCCTTCTCCTCTTTTGTGTCTTATAAGGACAGTTAGCCTTGGAATTAGAATCCACCTGGATAATCTAAGATGATCTTGTCTTAAGATCTCTAATTACGTCTGCAAAAGACACTTTTTCCAAATAAGGTCATAGTCACAGGTTTCAAGATGCAGACATACCTTTTTGAGGGTCACCAGGTCACCATTCAAACTACTACAGGTAGTAAAACACACACACACACACACACACACACACACACTCTCTCTCTCTCTCTCTTTCTCTCTCTCTCTCTCTCTCTTCCAATGAGAGAGAAAAGAGGGAAAACAAGATGCCCATTGGTGGTAGCCTGGCATCTAGATGGGTGGAGTAAAGGCTCTCTAACTGCACTTTCCTGTTCCTTTTAAGTGAGTTGTCTGGGCACGATGGTTTTACACTGAGCTGAGTCTGGAAACTATAATGCTCTCTCCCCAACCTGAACACAAGCTCTAAAATCAGTGAGAAAGTGAGTCCTGCCAGAATCCCTCAAGAGTTAAATTTGTTTCAAATGTTTACTTTAGAGAAATGGATCAAGAAAGAGCATACTTGGGGAAAATGTATCTGGCATTTATAGAGCATAAAATTCGACAAGCACCATCAATTATACATCCACTATAACACACCTTCAGATAGGTGTTTTGCAAATAAAAGTCAACCTAAGAAAGCTGAAATATGTGCAGGGTGTGTGGTTAAATGATTAAATGAATTCGTAACACCTGCTGCTTAGACAATCTCTGCTCATCAACATGATCTCCAAACACATTCTACAGGACTAATTTAATGCCAGCTACTGGGAATGAAGCAAAACCCTAATTTTCTCCCATGGAAATTTACTTCTCAATGAAGGCAGCTAAGAAGATGGAGAAAGCCCACAGACTTTGATAAAATTTCTCTGGGGTTCTGTTAGGATGTGCCTCCAGAAGCTGCATTTACCTTTTTGCCTGTGTGCCTGCCTCCTTAATTAGGTAGAAATTATATATTTAGTCTGGGCCAGACTTATCAAAACTGGATGCTTTCCCCAGAAATTCACTTAAAGTCTTAAACTGATGGCTTAGAAGTAACTTCCTCCACAGGGGAACCCACCCCCCAGCACTTCCCCTTCTTTCTTATGTTTGAAATTCTAAAGGATTACCGGATGTGGGCTCTCAAGCCCCATTTCACTCACCTGCCTTTGTCATCCCTTGCACGCACTGACCCTTTTTTCTTCATGGATATCCCAACTTTGCTAATCAGAGTGGGGTTCACGGATAGGAATCATCTGGGAGCTTGTTAGACCAGCAGCATTTCAGAGACATCCCAGATTTACTATCGTCATCTTCCGGGCAAGCACATTAAAATGTGAGATGCATGCCCTAACTCACGCTGCCTCAGGAGGTTATGACATTTGCTCTGGCCTAGGCTCCCAGCAAGCCTGCTCTCTTGTTCATGACTCTGCTTACTCATCTGCCATTTGTATGAACAGTGATTTTCAACACTAGCTGCATATTAAAATCTCCTAACAGTTGCGGATTGTTGAATTTTTTTCTTTTCATGAGAAAAGTGGCATCCTCAGAGATCTTGATTTGTCTAGAGGGGAGCCCAAGCACAGTCTTTAAAAAAAAAATCTTAATTAACCGTTTCTAGGAGATTTTAACATGCAACCAGTTTTTAAAACAGTGTCACGGAATAGTGGTTTTCAAAGTGTGATTTTAGCACTGGCAGCCTAAATATCACTGGAGCTTATAAGAAATGCAAATTCTTGGGCTCCATCTGAGATGGATTTAGGCTTGGTGGGTACAGGGTATGAGGGGTGGTTGCAACAATCGTGTTTTAGCAAGGTCTCCAGGTCATTTTGATGAGGGTAAAGCTTGAGAAACACTGCCATTGAGTATTCCTTGCCACTCACGCAAAAGTTCCATGAAAGGTAGAAAAATGAGGAAGTCTGGCGCTTACCCTGGAGTAATGCAGACTTACTTGGAAGAAATACCTTGAACATATGGGCAGATCCAGACACAACACATACCTTCAAGTCCCTGTAATTCTAGTCAAAATGTGACTAAGTACAAGTCAAGTGCATGTTAGTTCGTAGGAATAAAACCTATTACTCCTGAGTGGGAGGGCTGCTCTACAAGCAGGTAATGTATGCAAGTGACACAACCATAAACAATAGGAGAAAGGAGGGCATTTAGGTGACTAGCCTGGCTTACTAGGAGATAGACCAAAACAATACATAGGTGGTAGTCAAACTATGAAGGAGCTTGAATGTCACTCTAAGCTCCCTAAGTATTTCTAAGAAAATACTACCAGGAAAATATTGAATGTATGAGTTATAGTTAGCTAGACAAAAGGAAAAAAAGAAGGTGAGGGAATTTTTAGGCAGTAAAAAGAGTATGTACCAAGGCCCTGAGATAGGAAAAAACATGGTATCTTCAATGGAATCCTTAATGAGAGTTTATTGAAGCAGTTATGTAGGATGTGGGGATGGAGGACTCATCTGCTAGGATGATGAGAAGGTGATTTTAGAGGGAGCGGATTGATAGGACTTGTGACCTTGAAATTCCAATTCAATTCCAAGAGACTCCTTGCCTGATTATGCTTACTTAATAGAATTCTCCCATCTATTAAGGTTTCTTAGACTCCTTATCTTTCTAATTCCTTTTCTCTCATGTAAACTAATGGGATGCTCTGAATAAGTGAAAAGTTAATGTAGGGAAATTTTACAGCACAATCTTGAAGGCAGCCACAGTAATGCAGTATTGAAAAGCACACTTAATGATGGGTATGTGGAGTTCATGAACAACAATAGTTCATTTGTAACCACTTCATGTAGCGTACATGTATCACTTTTTGGAGCACTACCATTTAAAATTATCTCCTGGACTCATTCTTGGTACCATAAAAGCAAAATAAAATTAGGGATATTGCTGGGTTTGGATGCTTCAGGCATCAAAACAGGCATCCCTGCCCTTCAAGGTAACAGGATCCCCATCTCTAATTTTTCTCACTCTATAGTTCTGACACCACATTCTATCTCCCAAAACCACCTTTCTTGTTCTCACATCGTGTGCTCTCAGACGGTGCTCCAAGGTTAGATCATAAGACTCAGGTGTGACCAATCAAAACACCGTACTTCACAAACTGGAATACAGAGACTGACTGGTTCCCTATGGCCCAAAACATCAGACGATGAAACTTGATCGAAATCTCCTACATTTTTCTCTGAAAAATAAAATGTATAACATGGCCAATAATATTTTGAAAAAATAGTGCAATAAGGCAAAACTTGTTCTCCTAGTTATTATAACACTCCATAAATCTGCAGTAATTTAAATGGTGTGATACTGGTTAAAAAGTTGTCAAATAAACCAAGTGGAAAACATAGAGAATCCAGAAACAGATTCAGATATATGGAATTTATAAGGATATCATTTTAAAGATCAATGATGAAAAAAAAACTACTAAATAAAAGTAGAAGATATAAATAACATTGGAAAAGTTGGCTATTTGGGAAAATAAAAGTTTGATCCCTACTATATACTAGTCCAAAACTGAATTCTAGACAGTTTAAAATCCTATAAAATAGTGTTTTTCAAATCATTGCTTCATATTTTAATTGTATGATGAACTTTCAAAAAATCTCAGGATCCATCCCAGCACTTTGGGAGGCCGAGGCGGGCCGATCATGAGGTCAGGAGATCGAGACCATCCTGGCTAACACAGTGAAACCCCGTCTCTACTAAAAATACAGAAAAAAAATTAGCCGGGCATGGTGGCGGGTGCCTGTAGTCCCAGCTACTCGGGAGAATCAGGCAGGAGAATGGCGTGAACCCGGGAGGCGGAGGTTGCAGTGAGCCGAGATCTCGCCACTGCACTCCAGCCTGGGTGACAGAGCAAGACTCCATCTCAAAAAAAAAAGAAAAAAAAAATCTCAGGATCCATTACATACCAATTAAGTGAGAATCTGGGGTGGCGAAACCCAAGTATCAGTAATTTTAAGATTTTTCTGGTGTTTCTAATGTGTATCAGAGTTTGAGAACTGTTTCTGGTTAATAGAAAAAATTCCTCCTAGGTTTTCTAACAGGCAAAGCAAAGAATATGTTAATAACAAGTACCACAGTTTTTATTTTTAAAAAGTTAAATGTTCAGGAGACTTACAGATTTTCCTGGTACTGGAAAATAGACAGAAATGTCACCATTTTAAACTTTGTAAATTACCAGCACATTCTATAAACTTGTTAAATTAACAGTGGCTTTATAGCACTAATGCCCACGTTAGTTGTGCTTTTCCACCCTTAAACCTCATGAGAAGGATCATACTTGCACGTCTACAGAGGAATTACAGAAAGGATTGGAGAAAATTTGGCATATTTTCCCACATTTTCCTCTGTGATAACCAGAGTAGTTACCTACTTAAATGGATAGTGGCTTCACTATCATCAAAAATAGCTCACTTTGTATGTATGTACCACTCTAATTACCAGTTCTTCATATCATTTAGCATTGGGTGCACCTGACTCTGGAGCCCTGATGCAGATGTTTTGGACTTTAAGTATCTAGACCATTTCTTATACCTACCTATTGATCATGCAATCCTTTCACCCTGAATTTAGATACAACGACTGAATCCCTCCATCATAAGCCCTAGACTGTCACTATCAAATAATTAGAATGGGCAAATACATTCAAATATGTCTGTCCTGCCCATTCTAGAGAACTACAAAAATTCTCTATTTCCTTGTGACCACAGGGAGGGAACCACATTTAGTGGGTAATTTAGTGGGAACTGGTACTGGAAATATGGGCTGAGCCACTTAAGCAAGGGAGAAATACTGGGATGAAGATCATGTAGCAGGACTTAATCATCTAGATCTAAGGCTAAGGCTCCAAAAAAGAAGAAATTGGGTGTCAAGAACTGTGAAGGGTCTGAGATTTAACCCTACTTGCTAGCCAACAAGTTAACCTGCTAGTTTCATAGATGATCTCAGAAGACATGAGACTCCTGGATCAGAGACAATGAACTTTATTAAGGAGAACACAGGAGGCAGCATGAGCTTTCTGTTTTGATCAGTTGCCCTTGTCACTCAAGTGTCATGGGGAGGACGAGAGTGGGAGTCACGTAGAAGTGGACTCAGGGTGATACAACTCACAGGATAGATATTTTGCCAAAACCAAGAAATCCCAAAGCTAGAAAACAATCTATGAAGGGAGCTTCAAGCAAACCTGTCTAACCTTGCCCTGGAGGGAGACATTTCATGGTTATACTGCCTCTATCTTTGAAGGATGTTTGTTAAACAAATATTCCTTGGAAAATAGTCCAAGGACATGCAGAAATGCCATAGAACACTACACCTCAACACCAGGAACAGGAGATAGCAGACAGGACCCCCCAAATACAACAGAAATAAGACCAGAACACAAAAGATTAAATAAATAAAATCAACATCCAGTGTTAGAGTCCCAGTTTTCCAACTCAGATGACTAATGAATTGGGTTTCCAGTAAGAGAAATGCTGTGTGAATCTAGGATGCGATGGGAATTCTTCTGACACAATTATTCTAATGTCCCACAACCAACAACCAGAATCATCATCATAGGTGTCTGAAGGTAAAATCAAAGTTAAGGTATTGCACTGGATGCCACATTTTTAATGGCTGTCCAGGAAATTAAGTGGTTTTGCATCCCAAATGTACTTCTGTTTTCCTTTTCATTATGGATTTCATTACAGGTGTAGAACCCACTAAGAACATAGCCAAAGGATATCATTATTATGTAGTGCCCTATAAATCCAATTAAATTAGTCACTTTAAGAATGTTGAAGCAGTTAGGGAAATTCCCTAAATAGCTCTGGTATTTTCAGCAGTTTTAGTTAGTTCAGCTTTGCACAGAGAACAGCTGGAGAGGTAAGAGTATAAAGATGTGCTTATTACAAGTCGTGGAATCTGAGGAAAACCTAGATTAAACACATTCAGTTTTTGCTCACCCCAGGAGACAGCCAATGGGAAATTCTTTCTCCCCCTACACCCAAAACAGGGAAAGTGATAACAAGGGAAGATAGAAAGATGGACACCTGGAGCCATCCCATAAACTTACCATGAATTTTCTTCTTATTCAGAGCTGCTCTCGCTAATTTGGAAACGTGTTCAGCTTGCTTTCTTCAGGATTCTGTTGAATATACATAGGAGGCAACGACCACGGCTAATTGAAAGATGATGTTATGGCAAGCAAGGCAGTGTAGCAGAAAGTGAACTGGGCTTGGACTTCCATTGTGTGAACTGTGACTAACTGTCCATGGGACTTTAGTCAAGGCCCTCCTCTGATTTGAATTTCAGTTTCCTCCTTGATAAAATGAGTAGGCATTCACTACTCCTAGTGTTTAAAATATCTTTTAGGAAGCGAGGCAATTCCAGAGAGAATCTTTACAGACACCTTGGTGGGAGAAAGAGGAATGAGTTAAAGAGAAAGGCCAAGAAATCAGCTTCAGGTTTCCTTTCAGCCATAAAGTAAAACTCCCTTGAGAGAACAACCAGACTCATTCAAAGATGCAGACATAAAATACTGAAAGGGTGCCCAGCCTGCCCCCAAGCTGGGAAATAGCATATATATGCTTTACTTGGAAATGAGTAGGACTTAGTGCTGTCTCCTCCTTGTTCATTTGTCCCTTTTGAAAGGAAACTTGGGAACAGATAATATGGAGATACTGTCATCTCGAGAACAGAGTTCATCAGATTAATTAATTTGGGGAGTTCCTCTGAATTGCAGGAACTGGGAGACGGCTAAGAGAGTGGGACCAAAAGTGCCCCAAGACTCATCCATGGAGTCTGGCCTTGGGCATCTCAGGACTAAAGTAAAGCAAGTGATATGTGCCCTTGTCGTTTATATATTCCCACCATTTTGGCCTCCTGTTCTCATTTTAGAGGATCTAAATTTGTCTCCATTCATTTTGTCTCATGGTGGGAAGGGAGGACTGGAAACACACCTGGGATGATGCACAGGTTCTAGGCTGGCTTTACTCCCCATTGCACACATAGCTCTGAATGGATGCAGACTAGTGCTTTTGATCCCCTCTCCCCCTTTTTATTTATTTATTTATTTATTTATTTATTTATTTATTTGAGACTGAGGCTTGCTCTGTCACCCAGGCTGGAGTGCAGTGACACAATCTCAGCTCACTGCAACCTCCGCCTCCTGGGTTCAAGCAATTCTCCTGCCTCGGCCTCCTGAGTAGCTGGGATTACAGGTGCATGCCACCACGCCCAGCTAGTTTTTGTATTTTTAGTAGAGACAGGGTTTCACCATGTTGGTCAGGCTGGTCTCAAACTCCTGACCTCATGATCCGCCTGCCTTGCCTCCCAAAGTGCTGAGATTACAGGCATGAGCCATTATCCCCCTTTAATTCCTCTTTCAGCTTTTCTAAGAAGGCCTGGAGGTTCATTTGGAGTCAAGAAGATAATTTGATTTGTTCCCAGGTGCCATACAAGTTAGAAATATTTAGGGCCCTGGAAAGGGAAACACTTCCACATTCAGAGCCCTTGCCTTGGCAAGCTTCAGTCTAGTGGGAAGGCTGGTGTGTAAGCAGCAGAGTCACCCCAGCTCTGCCAGGCAAACAGACAGGGTAGAGCCTTCAATTCCTCATGCTGTAGACAGGTGAGGATACTACACTCAGAAACAAAAGGTTAAAATAAAGTGTGTAAAGTGTCAAAACAACTTCAAAATTGATCTGGAAACATGTGAAATGGCTTTTGTGGAGAGAAAACATTCACCCAGAATATGCAGTTTACCTCATAAGAGAAGCAGGTTATGCTTTCAGTTCTCGTGCTGTAAACAGTACAAGAACTGCTAATTGAGAGAAATTCCAAGACAGAGATTTCCATAAAAAAGTTTTCCCAAAATCCATGCCCTACCACCTCAGTTCTTCAGGTATCTTGGCCTATGGTTTAGGACAGTTTGTTTTTCTTAGGGCCCAACTTAGGACACAAGATAGCTGTGAAAATAATGGAGAGATGGCAAATAGAAATATACTATATAGAGAACAATAAATTGAGGTTTTAAGAGGCCTTTTAGCCAAAAGCACTTTGGAATAATGCACCTGGAAGGAATGAATCCTGTACTCTGGCAGATCAAAATCAGGTTAGTACATCTGTCAGACAAAGCAAGTGTGTCCCGCACTTATTCCCGTCACTCATCACACTTACAATACTTGCTAAATGTCTTAATTTGGCAAAGTAAGATCTGTCTGCCATTTTTATAACTTTACCCCAACAGTTTGCTCAGTATATACAAAGGCCTTAATTTTTCTTTGTGATGACTGAACAGCAGAAGGAGGGAGAAAACTTTGTGTATTTGTTTGCCTAGTCTCAGAAAATCAGTGAAATAGCAACTAAAATGGTCCAGTATCTTTTTTTACCCACTCGATCAGAAAGATCTGAAATGATAAATGTTAGTAGCACGTCCTCTAACTTCAGAGGTGCCAGAGTGGTCCCACATTAGCCAGGATATTTCATTTGAGTTGCTTATTGCATGATTGTTGCCAATAAATATTGACTGAATAACTACAGAAGACAGGCAATTTTGGGGACAAGGCTAGCATTCTCCAACTTAGGTCAACAGGCCTTTTCTAAAGGCTGAAAATGTGAACCTGGCTTCACAGTAACATCACTGCATAGCTTTTAAAAAATGGTGATTCCAGGGCCCTGCATCCAGAGACTCTGATATGGCCAAGGCAACAGGGTCTCACTGACTTAGACCATCAGCAATGAGAGTCCCACTTTGGATGACATAGGGAGTAAAATTATAAAGTGTAATAATCAAGAGAGAGGAGTTTTGTAATAGGGAGATAAGATATCTAGAAAGATATGTGGATATGTGGGGTTTCCTACTAGTTGTATATATAATACACACACACACAGACACACACACACACACACACACAGACACACACAGAGGAAACTATATTAGGTAGGACTACATGGTTATGTATGTTGGGCAAAAAGAATCTGTGTCTGATGTAGTAGAAATAAAATATATTAATCAAGCCAGGCGCGCTGGCTCACACCTGTAATCCCAGCACTTTGGGAGGCCGAGGCAGGCAGTTCACGAAGTCAGGAGTTTGAGACCAGCCTGGCCAACATAGTAAAACCCCATCTCTACTAAAAATACAAAAAAAAAAAAAAATAGCTGGGCATGGTGGCGGGCACCTGTAATCCCAGCTACTTGGGAGGCTGAGGCAGGAGAATCGCTGGAACCTGGGAGGTGGAGGTTGCAGTGAGCCGAGATCATGCCACTGCACTCCAGCCTGGATGACAACGCAAGACTCTGTCTCAAAAAAAAAAAAAAAAATATATATATATATATACACACACATATATATATACACACATACACACACACACATACACACACACACAAACACACACTAATCAAGTGGGTTTAGAGAAACTAGCTTTGGTTCTTGTAAACCAAACCAAGGTGGTGAAAAGAAAGGCAAAGTGTATGAATCTTCCAATAAATAAATAAACAAACAAACTAGAACCTGGAAGGAGTTTAACCACAAAGAATGGAGGATCTACCTAGTATTTAGAAGTGCATTACTGATTGTCCTGACTACAGCAACCCCTTCTAAACTAATAATATCATAATCTGAGTAAAATCACAAATAAATGAAGAGAAAACTAGCTGGGAACTGAATGATATGCAGTCCAGTGACCCTCACCTTAAAGGAGGACTTGAGATGGAGCTATGGAAGGCTTAGCAGAAGACAAAGTATGAGCTCACATGGGTTAAACCCTGGGTCATAAATAAAAAGCTTGTCAGTATCCTGCATGCTCCAGAGAGTCTTATGAATGGTACTTGCTCTGTCCTTGACACTTAGATTATCAAGGTGGATAAACTAAGTGTGCATGGGTTGCACCATTTGTTCTACCAGGCGGCATTGCTTCACGGGAGAGAAGATAACTGCTTTTGTAAATTGTGTCAGCTTGCTGCCTGGAGTGCCCTCCCTGCCCCTGGCTGTCATCAAGAAGTTTGAAGGACCCTTCATGAGGGTGACAAGGAAGTGAGGATTAAAGATCTTAGAATAGCCATATGACTGGTACACTACAGTAACACAGTGAAGAAAAAGCAATTCTCTCTGCCCAAGTTCACATGTCCTAGAAGCAGCTCTGAAATGATCTGATGTTTTGAAAGATGAGGGTGACTAGTCTGAAAAAAAATTTGTTTGAGTTCATACTAGAGCAAAATCAGGACCTCATATGCTTCTGTCTTCAAAGACTCATAGCTTGTGTATGAACAGGTATATAACCCCCATGTGGGTGTCCCAGTGACCAATGGACCTATTAACAACTAATAAAGTAAAACAGGGATGAAAACATGATTAGGATGTTGTGATTATTTTCATGGGTTATTGGAACAGGTCCTCTACTTGGAGTCATGAGATCTGGGTTCTGTTTGAAGTTCTGCACATATTAATCCCAGTATCTACAACAATACGTTGATGATTTCTGTGTTAAGCAGTTGTTAAGAAACACTCTGAAAGGGAGGGGATAGAGTTTTTTTTTTTATGGGCTGTGTAGAATTCCTGAAAGGTGAAGCTTTCACTTCATCACTGTGCTCCCCTGGTGAGCTGTTCCTCCTGCTTTCTCGATAGTCATTTATTTTACTGTGGTATCCATAGCTGCTGACATGCCTATGGCCTGGGGGCACATACAGCAGCTTACTTACCCATCTGCACTGCAACCTCCTGGGAGAAACTTTAGTACCAAGTAGCTGCTTAATGATTACTTGTATGAAGTATGTGTAAGAAAATATAATTCTGCTTAGTTTTTGTTTAATTTTGTCAACTCATTGGGGGTAGTGCACTCTAGAGAAAAGAACTTGTGCTTTGAAGTCAGCGCACCTGTATTTCATCTCAGCTGTTTCAAAATGTTTATCTGAGGAACTTAAGAAAGTCACTTAACCTCTTTGATCTTCAGTTCCTGTCTTGTAAATGTGGATAAGACCTACATAGGCTTCTTTTCATGACTGTATAATGACAAAAATGTGGCCATCTATATTATCTATATTAAGGAGCTCAGGAGGTTGAAGAGAACTATGAGAATATTTGGTTTTTTAAATGCCAGTATATAAATATGATTATTTAGTATATACTCAAATATCCCTCATTGGAGAAGATAGCAGAACTCTCAACCAATTCTGGCTGCAGGTCTGTGTCTGAGGTTATCAGCAGGCAAAGACTTAAAATTATTCTAAAATCAAAAGACTTTCTATATTCAGTGATCATCACAAAAGCAAACATTAAAGAATGATGCATTGAGTGATTTTTTTTAAAAGTGAAAAAGTGTATCTGCTTTGTCACGCTAAAACTAAGCATACACATCAACATTATTTTCACACCTGGTAAGTGATGAGGTTGGTTTTGTGCTTTTGAGCCACCACTATTTAATTATGATCTATAAGCAGTATAAAAAAAGACAAAATATAATTTGATCCACTTTAATCTTTATTTTTATTCATTCCTTCTTTAATCATTTGCTTCATTGAGCATTTACATGGTTAATTTCACTGAATTATTCTAACTACTGAATAGTGGGCTTTTATCTGGACTTTTAAAAGTTCCTCATTAGAGAATACTTATAAGTTTAAAATATACTTTAGTTGTGGCCAAGAATCCTTATAAATCAGTTAAATGACAGTGAATTCAAGTTAGAAAGCAAGACTGTGAGATCATTTTAAAATGTATAATTGTATTTTCTATCATACGTAAAGGCAGTGCTCACTTTGGCAGCATCCAGAGGTCATTTTTCCTGCTATTAGCAAAAGTGTATAACGTTTGGAGGTGTCTTAGGTTTGCAGCACCATTCGTGCCTTTTCTACTGAGCAATCACAAGAAAAAGAACTCATCATTGCCTCTAACCCTGGGAAGGACACTGCTAGCCACGAATATGGAAAGCAATGCCAAGAACAAGGTGACTTATCAGGAAAAAAGACAAAGGTCGGAGTTGATCAGTGATTGTGAGATGATAACATAGTAACTATATAGCAGTGTGATATGGAAAGAAGAATGAAAAACAAATTTGGATTTAGATTTATTAAGTATAAGAACTTAGAAAAATGTTTACCTTCTCTGAGCCACCGTTTTATTGTTATTAAATGGGAATAATAGCAGCTCTTTTATAGGATTGTTGTGAGAATTGAACAAGCTGACTTATGTCAAAGGGAGCAGGTGCTTGCTATATGTTTCATGACTTTTATTTTTCTCCTCTTCAAACCAGATAGGAAACTAAAACCAGAGAATAAAATACATCCTGATGGAGGTGTAGAAAGTGCTAAACAGATTCTGCAAGTTGAATGCAGACTCCTTCAATGCTTGGCCCTGCTAGAGTGTTACTGGGACCGAGGGAAACCTCCTTCCCCTCATTCCAAGACCGGGTTGACTTGCTGTCTGGCAAACTGCTTCCCCTTTCCCTGTAACATACCAAGAAGGAAAGCTTAGCTGAGGAAAAGAGATGCCTGGTCCATTGGGCCAAGGAATTCTCCAAAAGAGTTTTCTCCCTCCTTCTTTGCGTGGTTGACTGGTAGAAAGACAATCAAAGCTGGGGCTACCATCAACATCCATGATGTCGAGGAACAGCAGGCTGCCCTGATGAAGGGGAGGGAGGACAGAGACAGGAGGGAACAGGAAATAACCACTACAATCTGATGGCCGCTAGAGCCTTAGGGGAGGCTGACTTGACCTGAGGCATGACGAGGTGTATCCTCTCTAGTTCTCTTTATCTACACTATGGAAGAATCACAGATACTCCTTCATACACTATGGCTGCTGAAAGTTTATTTTTGTCCTATACAAGTAGATATTTAGAGGTTAAAAAAATTATATGAGTTTGGCATCTAATAAAATGGGCAAGGAAGATAAGCTGTTAGAATAAGGGAAAACATGATTCTAAGATTACAACAGCAAAAGCCAAATAGGGTATGACCTTCTCTGACCAGCTTCAGACTCTACTCAGCGTTCCAGGACACAGCCAAGCACGCTTCAGCAAGCAAGCCCAGCACCCATCTGAATCCCTCTAGTTATTGTTGGTCTCCAGGCCTTCAGCTGTCCTCAGAGATTCTTGAGCTAGGGAATCGTTTACCTATTACTTTTCTAAAATCCACATGAAGTCATAATGTTCTAGTGATAGAAATAGCAGCTGAAATGTTCCATTTTGCACAATCCAATGTTCTGGTAACTACATCCTATTTGTCTCATTTATCTTCTATCATTTAGTCTTGTTTCTACCATAATTGCTTTAGAAACAGTGAAGAACAAAAAAAATCAAAGAAAATCTAGTATCTTAGATGGAATCACAGAAACTTCAGCAAGATTTTAATTCCAGATGTCAACTGATTCCAATAGAAATCCATTTGAAATTTCATTTATCCCCCAAAAGAAATACATGGAATTTACAATTATTTCACAACTAAGAAAACAATCTATGTTAAGGTAATAACTTGATAAAAGAAAAAATAAATTGTCTAGTATCTTTTGAAGATCCTAGTACAGAATAAAGGCCTTAAACTTGAAATATTCTTTGCAAATTGACAACTTGCTTGTTTTATGAAATAATTTTTAATATAATTTCAACTTTTATTTTAGATAAAGGGGTACATGTGCAGGTTTGTTAAATGCGTATATTGCATGATGCTGAGGTTTGGGGTATGGAAACTGTCACCCAGGTGCTAAGCACAGTACTCAATAAGTAGTTTTTCAACCCATGTCCCCCTCCCTCTCTCCCTACTCTAGGTGTCTCTAATGTCTATTGTTCCCATGTTTATGTCCATGAGTACCCAATGTTTAGCTTCTACTGTGATATAGTTTGGCTGTGTCCCCACCCAAATCTTATCTTGACTAGCTCCCATAATTCCCACATGTCATGGGAGGGACCCAGTGGAAGGTAACTGAATCATGGGGACAGATCTTTCCCATGCTGTTTTCACGATGGGGAGTAAGTGTCATGAGATCTGATGGTTTTATAAAGGAGCGTTTCTCTGCACACACTCTCTTGCCTGCCGCCATGTAAGACATGACTTTGCTCCTCATTCACCTTCAGCTATGATTGTGAGGCCTCTGCAGCCATGTGGAACTGTGAGTCAATTAAACCTCTTTCCTTTATAAATTACCCAGTCTTATGTATGTCTTTATTAGCAGTGTGAGAACAGACTAATATACACTATAAGTGAGAACACGCAGTATTTGGTTTTGTGTTCCTACACTAAATTGTTTAGGATTAGGGTCTCCAGCACATCCATGTTGCTTCAAAGAGCATGATTTTATTACTTTTTATGGCTGTGTAGTATTCCATGGTAATATATTTACCATATTTTCATTATCCAATCCACTCATGGGCGCCTAACTTGCTCCTATGGTTTTGCTATTGTAAATAGTGCTACGATGAACAAAGTGGTGCATGTTCCTTTTTGGTACAAAAATTTATGTTATTTTGGATATATACACAGTAATTGGATTTCTGGGTCTAACCGTACTTCTGTTTTAAGTTCTTTGAGAAAACTCCAAACTGGAGTTTACAAATTAGTTCACAGTGGCTGAACTAATTTACATTCCCACCACTGTGTATAAGCATTCCCTTTTCCCCACAGCCTTACCAGCATCTGTTATTATTTGGCTTTTTAATAAAAGTCACTCTGACTAGTGGGAGATGGTATCACACTGTGGTTCTGAGTTGCATTTCTCTGATAATTAGTGATGATGAACATTTTGCTTCACTTTTGTTGGCCACTTATATGTCTTCTTTAGAGAAGTGTCTGTTCATGCCCTTTGCCCATTTTTTTGATGGGATTATTTGTTTTTTGCCTACGTTTCTTATAGATTCTGGATTTTAGTCCTTCGTTAGATGTATGGTTTGCAAATATTTTCTCCTATTCTGTAGGTTGTTTACTCTGTTGACAGTTTCTTTTGTTGTGCAGAAATCAGTAGCATTTCTTTAGACGAATAATGTTCAAACTGAGATTCAAATCAAGAACACATCTCATTTACAATAGCTGCAAAAAAATGGACATACCTAAGAATACAGCTAACCAAGGAGATGAAGGATCTCTACAAGGAGAACTACAAAACACTGCTGAAAAAAATCAGAAATGATGCAAATAAATGGAAAACATTCCATGCTCATTGATTAGAAGAATATTATTAAAATGGCCATACTGCCCAAAGCAATTTACAGACTTAACATTATTCCTATCAAACTACCAATATGATTTTTCTCAGAATAAGAAAAACTATTCTAAAATTTATATGGAACCAGAAAGGAACCTGAATAGCCAAAGTATTCCTAAGCAAAAAGAGCAAAGCTGGAGACATCACCCTACCCAACTTCAAACTATACTACAGCGCTACAGTAACCAAAACAGCATGGCACTGGTACAAAAACAGACATACAGACCAATGGAACAGAACGGAAAACCTAGAAATAAGACCGCACACATACAGCCATCTGATCTTTGACAAAGTTGACAAAAATGAGCAATGTGAAAAGGACTCCCTATTTAATAAATGGTGCTGGGATAGCAGGCTAGCCATATGCAAGAGAATAAAACTAGACCCCCACCTGTCAGCACATATAAAAATTAACTCAAGATGGATTAAAGATTTAAATGTGAGACCTCAAACTATAAAAATTCTAGAAGAAAACCTAGAAAATACCCTTCTTGACATCAGCCTTGGCAAAGAATTTTTGGCTAAGTCCTCAAAAGCAACTGAAACAAAAACAAAAACTGACAAGTAGGACCTAATTAAACTAAAGAGCTTCTGCACAGCACTTGAAATAAAATCTTAAGTGTGATTTGTATTAATTAGCTTCTGGGCCCCAGTCGTTCCCCTGACAGCCTGCTCTGAATTATGCTCAACCAATTCCTGTGTGGATTGGAGGACAATAGTGAGGGTAACAGATCAGATGATCCTCCTAAAGTCTTCAATCTTGTAAACAGCTTATCCTGAATGAAAATCCCTTTTCATCCCTTAATCATCACCTATGTGGTAAAAAGCATTAACGAAATATAATTATTTATATTATACTGTGTTAACGTTTTATTCCAAGGCTAAATATTTGAAACAAAACCTTGCTTATTTAGGGATCTTAAAATACAAGATATTAGAATCTCATCCCATTTGTAACAAATATCTTGTTCAAATTAGCCAAAGTAAAACAATGTTCTTCAAAAAGTAAATAATAAAATCCAAAGAATTAAGAAAAGTACAATTTGTACTATGTTAGTTTGCAAATGGTTCCTTCTATATTTGTATCTCCAGTCATCTTTCCAAGTATGTGGCGATAGCAAAAGTTCCACCATTGTGTGATTTGTGATTTGAGCCTCTTTACATATTCTACCCACCCTCACTTCCTCCACCATCCAAATATTCAAAGTGAATCCCTCTTTATGGACTGTTTGTGACACAAAAGTCTTATATCAAAAACCATCTAAGGAGGTATACTGTTGGGATTTGGGGCCAGAAAAGTTTTGCATCTTCCTACAAAGGCTCATAGTACCCCAAATTCTCAGGGAGCATGGAGAGTAGTCTGCATCCGTAGCAGAAACAGAGCCACCTTTCTTTGTAAATGCTTTCTCTGTCCTGATTCAAGGACATCTGAGCAAACATGGATCTTACTACAGCGTTCCCAGAGTATAGTCCACAGAGCCCTGGGGATCTCCAAGACACTTTGTAGTGTTCCTCAAGGTCTAAACAGTTTTCCTAATAATTCTAGGACATTATTTGACTTTTTCACTGTATTGGCATTGGTGCCAATGATGCAAAAGGAATTTTGGGTAGAACTGCTAGTGTCTTTGGCACCGAATATTTGGCACTGAACTCTTCCAGCAATCAAGGTATTTTTCAAGGCCACTCGCCTGCAGGCAGGAGAAAATGCCAATGTTATATAAGAATGTTCTTGTTGAAGCTATAAAAATTATTAGGTTTATTTACATATCAACTACTTGTTGCACATCTTTTTAATATTCTCTGTGACAAAATGGGAAGTTTATATAAAGCAGTTCTGCTGCATATCAAAGCACAGTGATTATTTCAAGGAAAAATATTTGTGCAAATGTTTGACTTGTGAAATGAACTATCTGCTTTTTACATTAACATGATTTTTATTGAAAGAATGACTAATAAACTATGGTTAGACTCAAGTACTCAGCAGACACTTTCTTAAAAAAATGAATGAGTGAATCTGTCACTTTGAAGAAAATAACTGGCAGCTTTTAAGCAAAAAGTCAAATTCTGAAACGTGTGTCTTTCACCAACACATTGAAAGCTTCTCAGTAATTATAGATGTTCAAGAATGTGATATTAACAAATGTAATTTTCTTACAATTTGCAATGAAGTCTGTCAACATTTGGAATATCCTCATGTTTTAAAAAACTATGCTACTTATGCTAACATATGAGATTTTATTGTTGCTATTTTAAATAAATTAAAAATATTTTTAAAATGTCTTCATTTTAATTTTTTATGTAAGTAGCAATGGATATAACTCACATCAATAAAAAGTCTTTGGAGTCCTGAACAATTTTTAAGGGTATAAAGATTTTGAGATAAAAAGTTTGAGATCTGCTGCCTTAATACAAGTCAATGTGTTCAATCTACCATGATAAATTTCACCAATATAACAAACTCTCTAAGGCAGGGGCCAAGGCATTTACTAATGTCAGAAAAAAACGATTGAATAATCTTTGTCTTCAGAAAAGCGGTCACTAACAGTCTTGCTCATATAGCTTCATATAAATTAGCTAGTTAATCACACAGTATGCCTTATTCTGTAAAACAATTATTTCCATCAAGATAGCAGTATTGTGATTTTCATTCATATAATATTTCTGATAACAATATCTAATAAGCACATCCATTTTATGTCCACTGTGTTAATTTTATGGTAAACCCAATAGTGCTCAACTACATTTCCCTCCAAATTAAATTAGCATTCCATGAATGTAATGGGTGTCTTAATTAGACCATGCTATTAAGAGGATTTTATACAAATTAAATTCAACCTCTGCATGGTTCAAACTTCTTTGTGTTCAACACAGAATAAAAATTCTTTAAAACATGAGGAGCATAAGAATATCTTATATTGCAAACAGAAAAAAAAAACAATGAGGAAGTTAAACAAGTTTACGTAAAACTCACTTCAGCTAGAAATTACCTTATTGTTTCTATATGACTTCTAGTAGTAGTAAAACATTCTTTTCCACTAAAATATTGAAACTTCTATTTTGAAAAATGAACCAAAATCAGCAAAGCCCTCTGAGATTATTTTAACATTTTTGAAACCATAAATTATCAAACCCAGGCTTGTTTGCTTTTTGTTCAAGTTCATCAACTCTTAGAAAATTTTAATCTTACTAAATAACATAGATCAGATCAACACATACTTCAGTGACAACTGAACAATAAAAGTTTCTAGTGTTCTTCTGTATGAGTCGTACTATTATAGTTTTACTAGTTATAATAATGGGTAACATTCACTGAGTAATTACTATGTGCCTGACAATCTACAACTTAATTTGCTTAAGTTATCTCTATTCTTTGTTACGCTCTGCAAAGTAAACATTATTATCCCTAATTCATAAGTGGGTAAAATAAACCTCAGAGAAGTTAAGGAATTTGCTCAAAGTCACCCAGATAGCAAGTGATAAAACCTGCTAATTTCAAAGCCTGTCTTCCCCCACAGTCTTACTTTAATAGGCCGTTTGCAAAGTAGCTAAGGGTTTACTTCTGCAACCAGACTGCTCTGGGTTAAATCCTATCTCCTCCACTCTGTGGCCATGTGTGTTCAGGCAAATAACTCCTCTGCCTCATTCACCAATTAATGATAGGGTAATAGGAAAAGACAAATAAAAAAAAACTTAAAAAAATGGCTCTGTATAAGGATAGGGACTTGGGTAGAAAGGACAGGATAGGAATGAGACCTCTCTGAATATACTTTTTATATTCATTTAACTTTTGAACTATGTAAAAGCTTTTCATATTTGAGAAACAAAATCTTACCTAAAAGAAAAAGATAGCAGATGATAAAACACAGGCAGAAGTGCCAAAATCTGCATGGTTTTATCAATTCATTTGGTTTACCAAATGAACTTAATTGATAAGACCATGCAGATTAAAGAATTGTTTCAAATATCTGTTGAAGACAGTATTACCTCTACATTTTAGTGGGGTATATTTTTAAATCTATCTGCAAAGCTTGTATTCCAAGAAGATGTTGTATCTAAATTTCACTCAGTAAATTTAATAGTAATACACACATATAAACAATTAGGATAAAGCAAATTGTAACCCATTAAGACAATTAAAATCCACAAAAAGGCCGGGCTTGGCAGCTCATGACTGTAATCCTAGCACTTTGTGAGGCTAAGGCCAGCGGATCACTTGAGGTCAGGAGTTCAAGACCAGTCTGGCTAACATAAGGAAACCCCATCTGTACTAAAAATACAAAAAAATTAGCCAGACATGGTGGTGTGCACCTGTAATCCAGCTAATCGGGAGGCTGAGGCAGGAGAATTGCTTCAACTCAGGAGGCGGAGGTTGCAGTGAGCCAAGGTCCCACCATTGCACTCTAGTCTGGGTGACACATGAGACTCCATCTCAAAAAATAATAATAAATAAAAAATAAAATAAAATCCACAAAAAGTTAGATCTTCAGTGTAATAAAAAGAAAAACCAGCTGGCCAGGTGCGGTGGCTCATGCCTGTAATCCGAGCACTTTGGGAGGCCAAGGCAGGCAGATCACCTGAGGTCAAGAGTTTGAGACTGCCTGGCCAACATGGAGAAACCCTGTCTCTACTAAAAAAATACAAAAAATTTGCTGGATGTGATGGTGCATGCCTATAATCCCAGCTACTTGAGAGGCTAAGGCAGGAGAATCACTTGAATCTGGGAGGTGGAGGTTGCAGTGAACCGAGATCGTGCCACTGCACTCCAGCCTGGGTGATAGAGCGAGACTCTGTCAAAAAAAAAAAAAAAAAAAAAAAGAAAGAAAAACCAATATGAAATAAATAAAGTTAGGAGAAAACAAATCTATAATGTTAAATTTTTAATGAAAATATCAATGCAAAGTAATTGATTTCCATTTTAATATATCTTCTAGTTCTGCCCACTAAAAAGACTTAGAAGCAATGACATCCCAATAGCAGTAAGCACATCTAGCACCCAGATTTTGTTTTCTAAATATGATTGCCCATGAAAAGAACCAGAGCTATATGGAGAAATAGCTAATTCTATGTCTGAGGTTTGTAAGGTAAGGAGATCCTGGAATAAGTGAGAGAGCAAGTATTTATTAGGCCTCTCAAAAATGGATGTAAGAGCCAGCCTGAAGGAACATTCCTTGTCAAATTTGGGATAATTTTAGCAGCAAAAGTAATCACAATGGTAATTAATTGAAACCCATTGATATAAATTAAAACCCCCTGGCCGGGCACAGTGGCTCACGCCTGTAATCCCAGCACTTTGGGAGGCCCAGGCAGGTGGATCACAAGGTCAGGAGATCGAGACCATCCTGGCTAACACGGTGAAACTCTGTCTCTACTAAAAATACAAAAAATTAGCTGGGCATGGTGGTGGGAGCCTGTAGTCCCAGCTATTCGGGAGGCTGAGGCAGGAGAATGGCATGAACCCAGGACGCAGAGCTTGCAGTGAGCCGAGATCGCACCACTACACTCCAGCCTGGGTGACAGAGCAAGACTCCTTCTCCAAAAAAAAAAAAAAAAAAAAAAAAAACCCTAAGTCCATAGTTACACAGTTATGCTCAAACAAAAGAAAAGGAAAACAAAAAGGAAACTTCTTTTAGAGAAAAACTCTCTGATAAATACAAATATATATATATAGTACTTATAAAATTACCATTTTTCAAGTCCATAGTATTGTAATTTATTAAGAATGTATCATTAATGAGTGCTAAAACCATTAGTTGAGAAATGGTTCGGGAGCAGAGTACTCACAATTCCCCAACCACAGAATTAGATTTCTTATGAACTACAAAGGAAAAACTGTAAAGTAACAATATTAGCCAAGTGGATACACTTAGATATCTAATATCAGAACAATCTGATATGACATAATAAGAAAGCATTCCCAATTATCTATTCTTGCAAAAAAGACAGAGAAAAAATATTTAACCCGAAGCTAACTTATTTAAGCTTACAGAAAATATAAGGGATAGAAGAAGATATTTAATTGCAACAAGATGAAACAATCAACCAAATACAAATTATGGGATATTCTATAAAAAGAATATCCTGGATTTTTAAAAAATGGAGTGGAATAAAAAGCAACGAATGGAATATTCTAGACCAAAAGAGACTAAAGAAACATAATTAGAACCAGATTAGATACTAATTAAATACATAAGTGAATAAATGACAACAGCTACAAAGACACTGGTGCAACATTTGGGAAATTTTGCATATATACCAGACACTAGATGATTGGAAATTATTGATAATTGATTTTTTTTTAGTCCCAATAATGGTAGTGTGGTCCTGAAAGCAATTGTCCCTATTCTTAAGAGGTGCATGGTACATTTTAGAAGTGAAGTGTCTTGATATGTATGATTTAGTTTAAATGATAAATACAAATAAAGGAGAGAGAGTCTTTCGCTAGTCTTTTTCCTGACACTGGACACGCAGGCAGGCCCTGTGAGTTTTCTGGTCATTCTCAGATCATAAAGATTTCTCCAGTCCCTTTAGTCCCCAAAAGTACTCTCAGATCATTAACAGAGTCATCCAAATGCTCAACTTAGTTTAAAGTGAAACCATGTCTCTTCCTTTAGCTCTGGCCTTGAGGAAAAACTCCTCATTTTCTCCTGTTAACTCCTCCCTCATTCACAGGTTTCTTCAGGATAGAGGCGGGGTAGAGCAGGGGAACGTGGCCTGCAGTGAGTGGTGCTGTCTCGGAAGGAGGCATGCTTTTAGAGGGGACTCACAGTGGGTCAAATGTGTGGGTTTGTCGGAAACTCCAGCATCTTACTTGCGAGCTGGCAAATGACCTCTTCCAGCTCCTCACTCTCTGCTCAGCAGCCGTAGGCATTCAACACAGGTCTCTTTCTGTTGAGGTTTTCTCACCCCCTTTAAAACAACTCCAGAATCTCCTTCCCCACCTCCCATCTTGGTCACATTTGGTCCCTAAAAAACATAAACTATATGCTGATAAACTCTGGGCATTTAAGCAGTTTTCCTTGCAGCAAATCTTTGTCCTGAATGAGAATAACTGGCCAGCCATAATCTCAAGCCTTTTGATCTCTCAGGCATCAACTAGATACCAATGCAACAGCACCCTAGCTCTAGGGAGACACATATCAAATGTTCCAGATAGTTCAATCGAGACTCCCATTTTTAGACTTGAAATCAGGGAGAAGCATCTTCATCCCTCCCACATGGTAGGGAGGGGTGGGGACCAGAAGGGCAGAGAGGTTGGGGGCACACAGTATCCTTACAAATCTTTTCTAAAACTCTTTTGTAATCTACACCACATTCTCTCAATCTGTCAAATCCCTTCTATAGATCAGAGGTGGACAGTCAGCTAAGGGTTTAAGGGTTGTAAAACTGGCTCTTGGCTATCTCATTGGTAAACCTTGCTTTGGTAATCTGGCACCCACAGGCCTCTCTTTGGAATCTGGATGTGGTTGGCAGCTATTCTCTTGGGGTTTAAACCAAGCTTGAGATGGGAAGAATCCTAATAACATCTTTCGTAATAATAATATATTTGTCTTCTCATTTAAATGATCAAATTATAATGGAATGGGGTGAGGGGGAAGAGAATTGCTATTAACTCGACTCTCATTTCATAAACTGACCTTTCCAAATCAGACTTTGCTTGTCCTATAACGTTGGAATTATTTTAGTTTATTAGTATTATCCTGAACTGGACAGAATAAAAAACCCCTGCCTATATTTCTAGTTCCAGTTGTCTTTCTGAGCTTTTCAAAGACACTGAAATAAACTCTTAAGAGGTCACGACCAGTAAGTTTTGAAATAGTATAATTTCTTGTTACATTTGTCTAAAGTAAAGGAATTTTTCATTTTCAGAAATTTAATAATGTGTTCTTTTAAAATTTTAGAAGTGAATTATAAAATATAGAGCACTAGAGAGAGAAAAAACGATCATCTCAGGGAGCATATTGCTAATATGTTCATTTATAATCGTCCAAATTTTATCAAGTTACATAGATATGTATGTATATTTGTATATATGTACACATACGTACATACATATGGTCTTATAGTATGGTGTTTTTACTTAACACTGTATATTTATTAAAGATTTATTTATATAGATACACTTGCATCTGTATCATTGATTTTCATGGCTATCTCATAGTCTTTTGAAAGGATATTCAAAACTTATTCATTGGTGTCCACTGAGGGTTTTTTTTATTTTGAATATTTTAAAAAGTTACTATGAACATTTGTGTATAAACATCTTTGAATATTTGACAAATTATTTTCTTATGCTAACTACTAGAAATGCTGCTTCAACGGTATACACATTTTAATGAATTTAGGTCCATATCGTCTAATCTTTCTTTAGAGTGGCTGTGCCAATTAGCAACACCTCTGCAATGTAGAAACCTCACTATTTCACTACTGCCAGGCATCATTTTTGCCCTTTTGCCAATTAAATGAGATTTAATGCACAGTGCTATGCTGTTATAGTTTGAAATTATATTTATCTTATTATTAATAAAGGCAAACTTCTTTTAAAATGTTATCACCCATTTTAATTTTCTTATACATTACCCGTTAACGACCCAAGTCCACTTTATTTGTTAATAACAGCTCTTTGTATCTTAAAGCCCTTAACCAATCTTTTGTGAGAGCTGTTTTTAAATACATATATTAAGCATCTTTTCAAACATGTTATCACTTTGATTTTGAATGAGCCAAACGTTTTTCTGTAATCAATAAGTCCCAGTTAGCCATTAGCAGTGTGTTAGCAACTGTCAATTCAGCGAAGGCAGAGAAGCAGGCTGACAATTGATCTGACTTAGAGGCAAGAGGGGGCAGAGAAAGTTTGAAGGAAAATTAATGATAGCAATTTTCTACTCTAAAGCTTTTATCTTATCAACGAGGATATGGTGCCATCTTCTTTCCACCAGCCAGTTATTCACAAATTTGGCTGCGCATTCCAAACACCTGAGGAACTATTTAAAATAACCCATGGGAGGTGCACAACATGATCCACCAGCTGTCTCATGTGTCATGATGAAATAATTGTTAAGCCATTATTCTAGATAAATTCTCATGTTTCCTCTTAGCTGTGCATTCTAGGAATCTTAGGGAAAAAGTGAGATTTGACACTTGCCACAAAGACAAAGAAATAAGAAGACCTCCACCTCTCCACTGTTCGTCTTGTCAACTTTGCAGTGTATTTCAAAACATGGTATTAAACAAGGACTGCACGAAACAATAAAAATGTCTCTCTGAGCATCCAGAGAGTTAGTCAAGGACAGCCGTTCGTTCGCCCATTTCTCAACACACCTGAGCATTGTTACTAATCTATTTGTCTAAGCTTTCCCCCGCCGTTCAGATACTTGAAGAGTCAGTGTGCAGTTTATCTCAAGAAAAAAACTTCAGTTGGGTTGGAGAGTTCAAGATGAGAGTCAGGCTGTCAGCAAGAATGCACAAGTTGTTAAAGTCCAGGTTAATGATTAAGGTTGGCAAAAGACCCATGAATGAAAAATTCCAGCTAATTATTTTAGATGAATTGCTCTTTCTCACTTGGTCTTTATGTCTTAATGAAGTTGGCAAAATTTTAAATAAAATAATATTCTAATAAAATGATGGGACAATTAGACATGTTTCATGCTCCAAGGTGACTAGGATTCTATCCATTTAAATCTCAGCAGCAATTATCTTTGGTGAAAAATTGCTTCCTAAAGAATCTGGATGTCTGATTCAAAATATAGATACTTTTTGGGTTTTACAAAGAAATTAATCTTGCAGGAATTAAATCTCTGAAGCATAAAACGTCCAAAACCACTGTTTTAGTATTTAGAAAATACTGGCCTCTTCAAATCTTAAATCACAGTTAATTATTCAATCTAATTCAAGGCCCAGTATAAGAAAATAATGTCACCTGTCACAAACTTATATTATAAATCCCCATAAGCCCCAAAATGACTCTTTGAACTTAACTGATAGAAATTTTTGAAAGTAAGATTTCATATTATGCCTTCAGTCCCTTATATCTCCAAAAAATGTTTTCATCAGTAATCTGCAAAATCCAAGATCCAACCAACCAAGACATCATCTCTAGGGATGCTGAAAGTACCCCATTTCACACAACCTTGACTGTCTAGAAATTCACTCTCTAAAGCCATAATGCACCGTCTTCTGACAGGGTTTCTTCATCACAGCTCTGTGCATGGTTTGCCAATGCCAATCCCAAGATAGTCTTGCATCCTAACAGCCCCAGGTTTGCACAAATACTGGATTCTCATTTAAATTAAATTCAAAATGCTACCTAGGGAGTTTCTGGTGCCTCATCATTCAAAAATACTGCACCTCTTCAAACCTTGTAGTCAGTGTTCTTTGAAATCTCCAAATTACATCCAATTAGCCCTGCAGCTCATATTTTCTTCTGTTTTTACTTCCGCTCCCTCCCCCTACCTAAAAAAAATCCCAGCTCACCCCCTCTATTGGCCTCTTTGATTGTTGTGCAGTTATTATGTAAGACCATAGAGCTCTCTTGGGGTCCAGTGCTGTGGCTGGTCATTTTAACAGTGTGTTTGCCAGGTTTAGTTATGCCTGAAGGAAACCTAGATCTGCAGGAAGATTTATTCATTCATACTTCTCTGGCATGGGGTGTTTTAACAAGATAGCATACAGTATGATTTACAAAAGAAGAGAAAGATAAAAGCAGCATTTTCTACTGGTCAGGGAACTACTGCTTGAAAAATGTATTTTGAGAAGAAATGGATCTGGTCACAGAGGACAACTTCAGGTCAAATGTTTTGGATACTGTGGGATTCCATCTGTTCTCTTGGCAGCTGGTTCAAAATAATATTTACTATTTTTGCTCTTCCTTGCATCATAACTAGCAAATATTTTATCTAACTGGTGAGCAAGACCTGGTAAAGTATTGTGCACCCAGATGATCAAAAATACGACTTGCGACTGCTGCCACAGCTAAAGCAAAGCGCTTAAAATTACTTTTATGGAGCTTCGTGTGTTCACTGGAAGATAATTGTAACAGAAAAAAAAGAAAAGGGAAAACTGCCTAAATATTTTACGGTAGTGCAGACTAATTAAATTAAGGTCCATTCACCCCATGAAATAGTATGCAGCCATTAAAATGAAAATAGGAAGAATATGCTACCACACGGAAAATGTTTATGATAGAATGCCAAAGAATAGGGCAGAACAGCAAGTATTAAGTGATCTCTTAATGCCAACTCGTAAATCACACGCAAAATTTCACAAAGGTAGAAGAAAATTGTGGCTGATTTTTTAAAATTTCCGATGAAATAAATACCTATTAAAATATTACTTGGTAGTGTACTTTTTCTTCCAGCAAAAATGATCTGAGCAGTTTCTGAAGTGTTTTCACATTGCTACTGTCCCTTGGTGCTTGGTGCCAGCCAACTTTCTTCATTCTCAAACTAGATCTGCTTCTAGATGGGTGAGCCCTCAGTCTTTTTCTAAAACTAGAAATTTCAAAAATGCATGAATTTAGTGACCACCCCGCCAAATTCCCTTGGTGAAACGTGGCAGCTCAACCAACATTTTTCATGTCTCAATAGTCTTTGAAGATTTGACTCTGAGTTCACATATATAGTTTATGTGATTATTAAATGTAATTTAGATTTGAAAAACAATATCTAAATTCTGAAAGTAAAGAAAACAGATAAACTTCATTAAATATCCAGTTGGTGGAATTACTATAGAAGGAAGAACTATTGCAAATGATTATAAAGCACAGTATTTTCACTGTATATCTACACTGAGATATACCCTAAGGACAAAATAAACTTCAGGAACTATAAACCATAAACTGTGTTTTTGATAATTATATTGGTGGTGGTAATTTTGTAGTGAGTGTTTTATATGTAGTGTGGATTAAGGCAAATGAGTAATCACATTTATGTTGCTGAAAACCAAGATTTTTGACATAGAAGTAAAAAAAAAAATGAAGGATTGATGAGGGTAAATTAAAATACTGTAACCCTAAATTTGAATTGTAGTCATCAGTATAAATTTATAATATATTTTATTTTCTAAAAAAAAAAAGTATCCTCTGCTCTGTCAATGTAAAGACCTAGAAATAATGAACAACCCAATAGCAATAAGCATTCTGCACTCCTAGATTTTGGTCTCTAGATAGGTTCTATTTTCCACTAAAAGGAAACCCAGGGCTTCTTGGAGAAATAATGAATTCTAGGTCTGCAGAAGGAAATATATGACATGAGTCTGGAATATCTTATATGTTGACAAGAAACTTCCCAAAAGTATTCAAGAGCCTACCTGACTTAGCTTTCACTGCCCAAAGATGAAAAATATCTGAGCTCTAGTAAGCTTGGTGTTCTCAGATATTTCTCAATTTATTCATTCATAATGATATTTTAAAAGGCTCTTTGATTACCTTTGGAGACTATTGAGGTATCAACATACGATTTTAAAAGCTTATAAATAAAGGGTAATTATCAATAATTTACCTGTTGTATCTCAACCAAGTAGCTGATAAGGGAAGATTTCTGTTCATAGAAGTACTTCAACTTAAAAGAAGAAGAAATGATAGAATTAAAATATTGCTTTTTTGTCAGTCCTAAATGATAATTACCAATCATCTCAAGATTAAAGATCAAATAACATAGTGTGCCTCCTGATAAACATACACAGCAAAGCCTGTGAAGTACTCCTGTTTAAAAAGACATATCTAACTTTGATCCTACCTCTAGATCTAACCAACAACTGACAGAAAGTATTGGGGCTAGAAGATCTTGTTAAAGACACCTCAAAGATATAATAAGCAAAATCTGCACTTGGTGAAACTGCCGGACACACAACCTCGTGTCTTCAACAATACAACAACAAAATAAAAATTTCACAGAAACAAGAGATGAAAAGATCAAGAAAGACTTTAGCAATGTCAGCCAACTACCATATGAATCTTACTTGAATCTTGATTCAGACAAATAAATTTAATATAATTTTGAGCAGAATCTGGATATTTGAAAATATTACATAATTATTGTTAATTCCTTATTAGATGTGATATTAGGATATTTTCAAGGAGTCATTATCTCTTGGAGATGCATATTTAATTATTTACAAATGAATTAATAGTTCTTTGGAACTTGCTTCAATTTAATCCAGAAAGTAGAGGAGGTAAGTGGAGCAACAGATGAACCAAGGTTGGTGTGAGTTGATGGCTGTTGAAGATGGATGATGTGCTTTATTATCCTATTGTTATACTATTTTAATTGCTTATGTTATGCTTCATATTTTCTTTCATTAATGAGTGTAACCAAGCCTGATGTTTATTAATTAAACCAAAAAACTTTAAAATGGATATTAACACATTAGTAATCATATTGTCTGACACTTTTATAATATAAAAATCTTATATACTTATCACCATATATATAGAAAAGCACCACAGAGTGCCTGCCACATGATGGGAGTCTAAAAATGTCTCTTTTAAGTGAAAGGTCTCCAAATTAAGTATTATTATTTATATTTTCAGGAAAGAGAAGTCACTAAGTGACAGATGGGGTTTGAAGCCAGGTGCTTCTAATTTCATATGATGCTACTCATGTATATTCACATGATAATATTCACATGATAATTTAGGGGCAACTTTAAAACTAATTCTTGTTATACCACTAGTCTGCCAAAAAAGACAAATTTGATTATCCCCTATGCCCTAGAGAATAAAATTCCAGTACCCTTTCAAATCAAATGCAGCCTGTTCATCACTTCCTGAACATATCAAGTTCTACTGTGGCTCTAGAATTTTGACCCATCAGTCTCTCCCTAGAGAGGCCACCCACACTTTTTCATTTAGTGAACTTCTACTCATCCTTAAAGGTTTACTTAAATTATTTATTCTTGGTGAAGACTTTTCTAGTCCCAAGACAGAACTAACCATTACCTCTTCAATGCTTCCACAGTTTTGTGAATATACCTATTCACAGAGCAATAATAATGACCCTCTAAAGAGTATTTGTCAAGCTCCAGTCACTGTTTAAGTGTTTTATGTATATTAAACTAATTTACTCATTCTAACAATCCTATGAGTACCATCATCATTCCTATATGACAGACGAGGATACTAAGGCCATTCCTTGGTGGACTGGATGAATTTTATTTGTATTTTAAATACTAAATAGAGTAAGGCACATAGTAATTGCTCAGTAACTGTTGAATTGGATTGTTTTAGGAATTTTAATTACTAATTTTGATAATTCAGACTTAAAGCTATTTCTCAACAGCGATTTTTAGACAATGCACCAAAGTTTGAATTGAATTAATGCTTGCAATTTAAGTCCATCTGTTTGAATAGATTTATACTTTGTTTGACTTTTCTTAGGAGAATGAAAAAGTCATTTTGCCATGAGGCTGTTATTTGAACTATTTTATAGGTCATTTTTGCTGTTGTAGGACTTTTCACACAAAATTTAAAAAATTGCTGCCACCTTTTTGTTGAATAAAGTCATGAAGATTTTAACTTGCCTTGGTGTTTCTCAAAATCTCAATTGAAAGTCTGTTTTATAAAAATCCCTCAAATTGCAAGGAACTAGAAGTGCATCTTGGTTGACCTCAAAATACTATTTGAACAAATAATGTGTTTGCTAGTTTTATTTTATTTTTAGAATGTATTTGTCTTTTAAAATGAACTATGGTGCTGCTGGCAGTTGTATCATCTTGGAGAATGTTTTAATATGCATAAAACATTGACCGTTTCTATAAGTGTATTTCACAGGAGATTTTCTATTTGTGATAGAGTCTCTACAATTATATTTATCTTTCTTTTTATCACAAACATACGATGCACATTATTTCTACAGTGCATTTAATATTCAGTGCATTTTTGCTGTGGTGCTTTAAATGTCACTGCACCATCCTCATGGGTCAACCGAATTCTCCTTTATTGCAAAGAATGAAAGCTAGTGCAAGGGATTTGGGCTCTACTGTCTCCTATGTAACACCTCTACTTCACTTTAGCCTTACATTTTTAATGCCTTCATTTAAAACGTGTCATTTTCCTCATCATTAACCTTGGTTCATCCTGTCACCTCCAAATTGTCAACCCCTCTTGGAATACCCTCCATGTAAGCCTGGGCTCATTTGATTTTATATGGCAGAACATCAAATCCAACTGGTTGAGACAAAAATAAAAAGTTAATTTATGCATGACCAGGCAAGCAAATGCTAGTGCCCAAATCTTTCTGTCCCTGTCACTTGACATTTGCTTTTTCTCTGATGATGTCTTTCTCAAATACCCTCTCATTTTTCGGTAGCAAGGTGGCAACTAAAAACCATGGACTCCTATTTTCAGAGTTGAGATCCTTAACAGAAAGAAGGCCCTTTTCTCTCAACACACATAAATGACCAATTATACCAGCTGAAATAATCGCTGTGTTCAGCGAGGCTTATTTTGCTGATTGTTCACCCCTAGAGTTGATGGGAAGATTTCAGCCCTACCTGAAGAACACACATTGAGAACTGAGGTGGGACAGTCCTACAAAGAAAAGCAGAAGAGCTATTAGCAAAAAAGCAACGGATTCTGTGCAAGAAATTGTAAATATTACTGCACAAGATATAGCAATCATGGAGGCAATTGTAAAGTAATGCAAAAAGCAAAAAAAAAAAAAAGATAGATGGATGGGGATGGATGGATAGATGGACAGATTCAGATAAGTTGGACAGGGCCTAATTCAAAAACTTACTGTGTGGATTTACACAGTCAATACTTTCTTTTGAACCATATTTTCTATAAACTATAAAAAGATAATAATGCTCATTTTGTGAAGATCAAATAAGCAAGTATAAGTGAAGTATCTACCATATACCACGCTTTCTGCCAAATAGAGAGCATTCAATAAAAGCTAGTTTTCTTCAAGGCCAATGATGGGTTCATCTCATTTAGGAAGACACCCTCAGCTACTCCTGTCTCTTCAAGTGGGCTGTCTGAAATCTGGTTAGTATTAGTCTATTACTCAACTTACCACTTCATTACACACAGGCAATATAGCCTCTATATGCTGAATGTGTAAATGCCTCATTTTATCTACTAGTTTTTAAGCTCCTTATGGGCTGAGGTCATTTCTTTGTGCCCTGCCACAGCAGCCAGCCCAGGGCTAGTCACTCGCTCAACCCAGAATAAGACAGGCACTTTGCATCCCTGGACCAGCTGTTTGAATCAAATTGCATTTTGAGGGTATTGAATTACACACAAGGAGGCAGGCACAAGCAGAAGAGGTAATAAATATTGGAATGGTTAACTAAAGAAAGTTGTGCTATAAAATGAAAAAACCTCTATCCATTTATTTATTTATTTAGAGAGGAGGAGAGTTTTGAGAGGTACAAGGAGAGAGGTTTCATGTCATTTTGCTGAAACTATAAGGGTGCTCGGAGTGCCTTTTGAAGATCCCTTTTAACTCCACTGGATTCAGTCACACACAAAAAACCTACTTGCAATGAAGTATTATAATTTAATGTAGGAATATTCATTAGCAGGTGAAATAGTCATTAAGAGGTTAGACTTTGGGGAATGACCTGGATATGAGCCCAATATTCACCATTTAGAATCTGTGTGAATTTGGGCAAATTACACAGCCTTATAGAACTTGTAGTGAGGGACTTACATGGTGGATAAAAGAATTAAATAACATAGTGTAGATAAAAGGCATATTAGCACAGTGCAAGAAACACAGTTGAGAAAGCAAGAAACATTAACAAAGGTGAGCTTTACTGTTTGGGGGATGGAGAAGCATAAATAGAATTATGTTTGATTTCTAGAAGTTTGGTTCTTAAGTATTACAACTGTCTCCCTCTCCTCTGGAAAAGTAAACACTACACATAATAAGCATTTGCCTAACATCCAGCTGTGTTAGTCCAATGCTGATTCTTGTTTCATTTTCAATCCTATTTCCATGTGTTTCATTCTCAGTGGAGAGCAAAAAAATCAGACAATGGTTGGGCCAGCTTCATCTCTTCTCTCAGAACCCCACAGAGCTTCTTATCTGTCTCCATATTTTGGCTGGGCTTTTCTTAGGATCTTAATAATGACTTAAAATTGAAAAATAAGATTTAGTCACTGATACTCTCTTGGTAGAGATACAATATTCTTATTTTACCAATTCCACCAGATTCGATGAATGTCATGTAGTTACTGTCAAAAGACAAAGCTTCTAAGCTATACACAGATATCTTAGGATAAGAAAATCATGCATAAGGTACCAAGATGCGGCATTTTTGTTCAGCTGCAGTGAAAAGTCCATTATAAGTATAGATAAAGGTTTTTGCAGTGGGGCTGAAGGGCAGGGCCAAAACTCTGAAGTTTTGAATTTGCCAATTAATTGGCCTAGTACTTTTCTCTGAAACTCTCTGAATATACTCTTTAAAACAAATACGTAAAACCAAATAGATATTGCAGAACAAATTTTCACTGTCAATTGAAAAGAGAGTTTCTAGCTAATTCTTGGGGTAAAAATTGGCAGGCACATACAGGGTTTTTATAATACTCTATAATAGGTTTTTTTACTTTTAATTAAATATAAGACTTCACTGTTTAACCTCAATTAAACCATCATAATGTCAGTCCATTAAAATTAAATTAATGTTCTGAATAGTAAAATGATTATTTCAAATAAGGCGATAATTAACAGCCTGTAGGCAACATCCTAACAGCCACCTCAATTCTTTCTCTCTCTACATGCCAACTCAGAGGGCTTCATTTTAGAAAAACCGATCTACTCACTGCTTTTTCCTGAAAATGACATGCCAAAAACCCACTTGTGTTTCTTTATTTTCCTTGCCTTGAGTTTTTTTGTAACATATATGCCTGTTGATGACTTGTTGTTTTATATAACATGCTTTCCTAAGTATTAGCTGGGCACTGAGGAAGAGAAATTAACAACACATAATTTCTGCCATTGAAATTTTATAGTCTAATAAAAAAAGATGAGCATGTCAACAATTAAATTTAACATAATAAGTTGTAGAAGGAATTCCAACTTAAACCGAGATTTTTAGGACCTTTTTAAGTAATAATTGATGAACCTCCCTAATGGGTCAGTTTGTTATGAGGCTTTTATTTTTGGCTAAAGTTGAAAGGATTGGAGAAAGCTAGTTCAAATTTTAAAAGTAAGCTTCATGATCGTAGTATTAGTAGTAACAGGAGTGAATGTGGTGCCAGTAGGGATGGGGTGATAAAGATGATATTTATAGAAATTGTCCCTCCACCCAGATCCTTTAATCTGAGCCCCCTGCAGAAGAACTGCAAGTAGAAACTGAAGAAAATGTATTCATATAGAGTTTAAGAGAATCATATATTGACAAGCATGTTGGAATAGAGCCCTACCTGGCGATCATAGACCTGATGTGGTAGAGTGGTGAGATATGCTGCCATCAATGCTTATTTTAATTTAATTTTATTTTATTTTATCTGGTTCAGGTGTAACATGATAAAAGCAATTTTTTGGAAAATCCTTTCAGAGTTGTGGTTTGGAGTGGGAAGAGAGACAAGATAGAATTCTTATTTTTGATGCATGAGGCAAAATTGTTCGAGTATTTTGATGTCTGGAAAAATGTTGAAGACATTCTGATGTTTGGATTTCACCTGGCTCTCTCACTATATGTGTGTGTACACACACACACACACACACACACACACACATATGTATATATATACACACACATATAGATATTTAGGTTCTTTAAAATACTTCTAGCTTTGACTTAAATATGTCTGTGCTTACTGTTAACTGTATTTGCATGTTTTCAACTGTTTCTAAACTGCCACTGAAAAGTTTACTTCTTTTTTTCCTTAAAAGTCACCCTTATAATACATGTGGATAACATATTCTGAAACGCTTCCTGTTTCCTCATCATAATCCATACTGTTCCCAATTGTCATAAGGTTCTCGTCTGATTCCTAACTACAATATATAAATCATTCGGCCAGTTTTGCGGACAAGAAATAAATTCCTGTCAACATTTCACAACAGTGTCTTTCCTTTCCCATGTGTGGTCCATTGCTTCCTTGTTAAATATTATTGCTAATCAGTAGTGGCAATTCCTGATAATGTCCAGACTTGACTCTGGACCTTAATTCTGTACATTAAGAGTGATGTAGAAATTACGACTTTCATCCAGACAATTACAACGCAAAGCCGCCCTGCTCCCTTTCTTTCTCTTATATATGTATATAGTGCTACTTCTGCCTTGAATTCTCAGGGTATTTGATTCAATATTTTACATTATTTTATACTGATGACATCTGATGCTAAATTTACCTAATGCCCTTCCAAGAAAACAAAAAACCATTGAAAAATGTAGTCTTCCATGTAAGGCTTCAGTTCACATGTTACCAACTTACTGATTTGTTACTTTTGTTTTGATTATATTTTAATCCCCACCTGAACTATTATTAGTATTATTATTTAAAATAATGTTGCTAGCATACAAGACTTTTAGTCAAAAGCACCGCCTCCCCACACCAACAACCCTGTTAAAAAATATGCTTAGAGTATTGAGTGTGTTTCCTGAAATGTGGTGGGTGAAAATAAATGATTGTATCATTTTCATTAATATTTTGAAAAATTATATCTGTATGATGGTAACCACAACTTTTCATCTCTTTCAGGAAAAACCTTACTTTTCTGACCTCTGTGTTGAGAGAGAGACCTGTGTACTTGTCATTAATGGCTGTTTATAATTAATTGCTGTATTGAAATGACTATGTTTTCCTTTGGAAACATTTACCCTTGGGGAATTTGCAATATCTGTCAATCAAGTCTGGTATTTCAACAATTACATGACAAGCATGAGACATTTGATTAGAGGATTCAAAAAAAAGTGGTGCAATTAATCCAATGATATTAACATGATGGACACCTTTTTATTACTGAAACCAAGGTTGAGAGCTTCTTGATACATATTTAAGTCATAATGTTCTCCTTTCTAAATATATTTGGCCCATCATGGAGACCTAAAAAATACACTGCGTGGACCCATTTGGTATTTAAACACACAGTCTGTTTTCTTCCATTCTGTATTATCTGACATGTAGAGAAAATCTGGAGCAGTGGTGGTGGGTGATCTCTGACTAGCTCTAACCAGCCGGTTGACTGGCTTCATGATTGCTTCAAGTGGGTACTGCCTGGACTGATTTAATCAACTAATTCATAGGATAAGGAGACACACAACCAGAGTCTCTGCTTCCTCTGATAAGAACAAAGGAGGGCAATAAATAGTCACATAATGTAATAGCAAATAATGAAAAGAAAGTCCTTTCTATCATCTTTAATGGAATGAATTTACTCGCATACCCACTGAGTGTTTGGGCTAAGTGAAAACAAGTATAAAACTTGGTGCTTATCTTTATGCAGCTTACTGACCCCTTCTGGATACAGCCTTTAAATGAGTGAAATAATTGGAGAACACTAAAAACAACACTAAACATAGGGCCAGATTGCACACAGAGTGACATCTCAAATGATTTTAGCATGAGTCCTAAGTACACTGCCACTGGTCATTTTTATTTTAGAATTTTTCAAACATATACAATTTAGAAAGAATAGAATCATAAACATTTAATATATTTTCTCCAAATTTAATCAGCATTAACATCTTTGCCATAATTTTAGTATCTGTTTTTATGTAATTTCAAGTCAATTATTTACATATAAGCTATAAACTCTAAATAATTCCTTATACATGTCTAAAAGTTGGGACAGTTTTCTACTAACTACAATACTATATTAAGTATATTAAGCCTAACCATATAATAATTTCTGAGTGATTCTAAAAGCTGACCCATACGTAAATGTCCTCAATTGTCTTCCAGTGTCTTTCTCGGCTGTTTTCATTCAAACTGGGATCCACTCTAGAATCACACATTGCATTGTAATATGGTTTTTTCCACTCCTTTGTCACTTTTTCTTTTTGTAACATTGACTTGTTGAAGTAACCAGTCAGTTGTCTTATAGAACGTGTGCTTGATGAATTTTTCTGATGTTAACTGGTGGTATTTAATTTCTATCTCTATCCCTTGTATTTCCTGTAAAGGGAGAGTTGGGACCTAGGACTCTGCTAATTTCAGGTTAATCACTTTTGGCAAAAACACTTCATAGGTCATGCTGAGAAGTTGATGTGTCATCATATGCTGTATTATGGTGTCTGGTTGTCACATAATTAGTGACTCACTGTACTAAGGTAGTGAAAGCTTGATCTCTCCATTGATGTTATGTCTGTTCTCTCTGCCTGGCAAGAAACTGTGGAGTTACAGTCTGACACCATGTAAAGACTCAATTTCCCATCAACCTCTCACCTAATAGTTTTATCATTTATTGATGACCACTTCCTTAGTCAATAATTTTGTTTGAGTTTACAAAAAGATGTTTTATTAACCAGCTTCTTTCCTTAACCGTGATAATGTTGTGAGCAAACAGTCCCCACGTCTGCAAAGGTTACAGCAACAGCATTTATGTTGTTCTCCTAAGTGTTTCTGAGGGTCAGCTGGTCTAGACTGGTATCATCTGGGTTAGACTGGAATCCAGGCTTTTGGTGGAGTTCAGTCTGTGCAGCATTTCTTTGTTCTTATCATAAGCCAAGGAGCAAAGCTACTTGAAGCATGATCTTGTCCTGGCAAATGGTAGGAAATCCCATCAGGCTGGCAGAAACTTCCCATGACTCTTCAAGACTCAACTCAGAACTGGTGCAATGTCTCCTCATTGGCCCAACGTATTCCACTGGGTACAGCAAGTCATTACACCAAAACCACAGTCAATGGAAGACGGATGCACACTCTGTCAATTGTAATGGGAGTCGCTACAAAGTCAAGTGGTAAAGACAATTCATGTGTAATTCTTTCACAATGGGGAAGAAAGAGTTACAAGCGATAATCCAGTCTACTGTGGTAATTTTCCAGATGTCTTTCCCTGTCTTCCTTCATTCAGATTACTAATAGACAAACTATCCTTATAAATGCAATTCACTTTGATTTATGATGAGCCAACAGTTACAGAAGATGTTTCAAATAAATTTTAGTTCAGTTCTCTCTGCTAGAAATAGATAGTTGGGCTCATCAATATTAACTTTTCACATTATATTATAATTACCATTATATGGCTACACCTTATCAGATAATGAGCACCAATGTAATGGCAAACTCTGTATTCTTTAGCACTCAGCACAATTGTTAGAACATAGGAAATGCCCAATAAATGTGGAATGGATTACATTTCAGAATCATTTTTGAATCTTGCAAATAATTTCTATCCAAACTAATTTATGTCAGGTTCTCCCTTTTCCCTCCCTACAAGTACAATTATCTTTGTTTTCCAGATGGAAAGAATAACGCATTGAAAGGGTAAGAAGCATCGTATGCCCAAGGCTAACCAGTAAATCAAACATAGAGTAGGGAATAGAACCCATTACTCTTGGTTCCTGTTCTGTGCAAGAGACAGCATGCCCCAGTACTTTTACTCTGTATTGCACTGCTGTTTTCATACACAGGGCAATTGCCACTGAATACTTTGACTATTAGTGATGAGTTGAGGACTCTGCTAAGCACTAGATCTTTTGTCTCTCCAATACAGAGAGAGACAGAGATCTAGAAATAATTCAAACTGCTTAACTCTATTTTAAAGCCAAGAGAATAGAGACAAAGAAAATAAAGCAAGAGCTCAGGGAGTCTAAGGGAAACTACAACCGTGGCCAATATTAGAGACAACCATAGTGCTCAGTATGTAGAAAATTAAATTGCATTCATGATAATTTTCAGTAATTTAGAAAGTTTGTGGAACAAGAAAAGAATGCTAACATGTGAAAATACAAATTATATAATTGGAGGCAAGTTTATTCTTTACTTAGAAAATAAAACAGCAAACAAAAAGAAGAAAAAAGATCCATGGTATGCAATAAGATTTGTACATCTAATTGATTATTTTAAATCTTAACCATCCCCTGATAGATGCATACTCAATTAGCTACATTCCATGGACTCACTAATAAATTACAGCTGTAGAATCTGATTTTTAGAGATGTGCATATATGTTAGTTTGCCTTAAATTGCAGTATTTTGGGTGGTTTCCTTCACTGCTCCCCTTGTTTCAGAATTCTAAATCTGTCAATCTGGTGGTTTATTGGGTAGAAAAATGATTAATTAGAATTGACTGGCTGTGTTGATAATTTATGCACAATTAATGAAAAGGCTTTTGCTATCATTAAGGAATTTCATAGACTACTCATACACTCTAGTGGGAGAAATTGGTCAAAGCACTTTTTTTCCTGAGGAGAAAAAGCAAACAAACAACAAATGTGTATACATATATAGCACTTAAGAATCACAATGTTATTGGAACTTCCCGGAGTATCCCGAAATTGCGTAAGCAAACTGATATAATAAAATCTGACTTAAAAAGCCACTTTAACCACACTAATTAGGCGGGCAATAAAAATCAAGCAACTATTGAACTGCAAAGCAGTCACAATAGACAATTAAAGGTTAATTAGATGTGTGAATACAAGTTCCTCCTGTCCTGGGATTTATTCTTTGGATGTTTTGGATAGATTCATAAGGGAGCTTGACATATAACATAAAAATCCACAAGAGATTCATTTCTATGAAAACAAGTTCTTTGTTTAAAAAGAAAGACCAAGCATTAGGAATTTGGATTAGAGGTGGGGAGAGAGGGCAACAGCAATAACAAGAGCAACACAATACTTAGAGGGACTTTGCAAGTTTGATCAATGCTTAACATAAAATTAAATTTAAATTTAAGTTTATCCTAGATGCATAAATGAGATTTTGAAAGACCTGCAAAAATCCGGTGATGTGGAGTAGATAAATCAGTCTGGTGAAGTATGAAGGAAAGCTAAATTGTGTTAGGGAGGCAAAGCTTGGGTTTATTTTATTTTATTTTACTTTAAGTTCTGGGATACATATGCAGAATGTGCCGGTTTTTTACATAGGTACACATGTACCATGGTGGTTTGTTGCACCTATCAACCCATCATCTAGATTTTAAGCCCCACATGCATTAGGTATTTGTCCTAATGCCCTCCCTCCCCTGGGCCCCCAACCCCCGACAGGCCCTGGTGTATGATGTTCCCCTTCCTGGGTCCATGTGTTCTCATTGTTCTACTCCCACTTATGAGTGAGAACACGTGGTGTTTGGTTTTCTGTTCCTGTATTAGTTTGCTGAGAATAATGGCTTCCAGCTTCATCCATGTCCCTGCAAAGGATGTGAACTCATTCTTTTTTATGGCTGCATAGTATTCCATGGTGTATATGTGCCACATTTTCATTATCCAGTCTCTCATTGATGGGCATTTGGGTTGGTTCCAAGTCTTTGCTATTGTAAATAGTGCTGCAATAAACATACGTGTGCATGTGTCTTGTCTTTATCGTAGAATGATTTATAATCCTTTGGGTATATACCCAGTAAAGGGATTGCTGGGTCATGGTATTACTGGTTCTAGATCTTTGAGGAATCACCACACTGTCTTCCACAATGGTTGAACTAATTTACACTCCCACCAACAGTGTAAAAGCAATCCTATTTCTCCACAGCTTCACCAGCATCTGTTGTTTCTTGACTTTTTAATAATTGCCATTCTAATTGGCTTGAGAAAAGGTTGGGTTTTAATTCCAACTCCGCCCCTCTCAAATTTTGTGTCCTGGCAGTTCACGGAAATTTTTTCATCCTCAGTTTCTTCTTCTAAAAGATGTGGTCTAGCCCAAGCTATTAAATATTTTATATCTTCCCCATTAACTTAATATCCATAACCTAATAATCTTCTCTCTGTTTGCAATAGTTTCATTGTCACATAAATATGCTAATATGAGTGTGTATAGAATAGATTGGATGCTTAAAAATGGAATATCAAAGCCTCTAAAAATTTATTTTACCATAAATTCAATTCAGTGTTTATTTCTGGGAGCTAAATACGTACCAGAAACTGTGCAAGGTGCTAGAGATTTGGGGATAAATGTCATGATCATCTGCCTCATTTTCATTATTAATAATAATTTTAGTGATTAGATATTTGGGTGTGAATGCCAAATACTAATAACCACCTATATCTCATGTATTCTCATAGTTTTAACAGCATCTTTTAATGTGATTCTTTTGTAAAAATAACAGGTAGCTGAAAATAGTTTCTCATAAAATTATCATTAAGTGATTATTATATGTCATTTAGAAATAACTCTATATACATAACTTTAAGAATTAGCAAATATGATTTTCATGTAAACAGATAAAGAACATACATCTTGGAGGCTCAGTCAATGCCACATGGCTGGTAAAAGACTGAGCCAGGAATCTAACTCAGGATTTTTCTATGAACTGCTAACTACTTTGCTTCAAGTTTTTCGGTGATTTATTTTATTTCTAATATTAGGTAATAAGCCTCACAGACTCATTCATACGCTGTCAATAGATACCATAGAATAATGAGGTTTAGGATAGCCTTACCTCTAGTGAACTCCAGTCATCTGACCATGTATAGCTGAAGAAATATCTAGAGATATAGTAAGGAGAAAGCAAAGAAACATTGAAATGTTGCCAGAAATGAGGGAAAAAGCACCAAACGTTCAAATTGAGAAAGTTCAAAATAGAGCATCTCTTTTACTGAGTAAATGGTTCAGCCCTAAGAGTCAGCAAGGAGGGTTGCTTAGCCCTGCCTGTGGTTTGGGATTTGGAATCCTTCCAAGAGGAGTTGAGGCTAGAGATGATTTCTCAGTCATGAGGAGGAGCTGGATAAAAAGGGATGCAGGAATGTCAGGAGAAAATCCCATGAAAAAGAAATGGCAGACTCAAAGGCATAAGAAGTCATAGGTGAAGAGCCAGAGTCAATGAAAGTACCTTGATGCCATCCGTGCAGGGCCTGGAAAAAGAAGGGTCAGAGATGAAGAAAACCAGTGGAGGGAGACGTTGATGTAGAATTTGGATTTGACCTTGAGAATGAGGTAGTGTTAACAAAGGAATTGTGTGAGTATATGTGTAGTTGCAACTTCAGAGAAACAGAATGAGTAAGAATATGTAGAAAGAGATTATCTGACATTGTTTGTTTGTCCTAGGAAATGGAGAGAACAAAATTAGAAAAATAAGCAAAGCAGTTAGCATGAGCTCTGTTTTACAGATGAGTAAATTTTTAATGACTTTCCTAGATGCCCTGAGCTAGTGGTAGAATCAGTATTTAGTCCTATCATTTCAGTCACCAAAGCCCATTCACTCTTCATACAATGCTGACATGAACAGTGACAACACATAGGATGAGCTTGATTAATATCTTGGGTGATTTATTAATTTATTAAGAGTTATCAACAAAGGATTGGAAATAATTTAAATATCCAATAACAGGGAAATAAAGTGAAATAAATCAGAGTGAAACATGAAATATAGAACTATTAGAAAAGTTGTTTTTCAAATGTATCCATTGGCATAAATATTTTCTCATAATGTAACACAAAACAAAACAATTAGAATATTAAACTACCATAATACAATCAATTCTTTTGTCTCTATGTGGGTATGTGTGAGTGTGCATGAAAAAGACTGGATGAAAACATATAAAAATGTTAATAGAAGTTTTGTCTGAACTGTGGGGTCATAAGTTGTTCATCTTTATGCATTTCTGTAATTTTTATATTTTCAGTATTTATTATTCATAGAACAGGAAAAATAAACACTACAAAGGAAGAAATAAGAGAGAAGTGACAGCAGACAATATTCTCAACCAATTTCATTTCCTGTAAGCACATGAAATCATGTTGTCTTCCTTTTCTGCTTTTTATAGTAAAACGAAAATTTTTAAATCCTGGATGAGCAGATAATTAAAACTTGTGCTTGCCTGTCAGAGCAGGGGCACTCCGATTCCCATTTCTGCTTGGTGCCTGAACCTTGTCATGCCTACGGGTTCTCTTTCAAAATATTTAATAGAGAACAAGAGACCATCCCTCCCCATTAAGTATAGTGTAGGTAGCGAGTGCTGGGACAGCCTTCGTAATTATACCTGAGGCTACACAAGCAGCGCAGTTGTGTGTTTGGGAAGCTGTACCTGATGATGATCACTCAGTGCTGAATGGCAGAAAATAGCTGTCCTGCTAAAACACAGCCTGGGTGCGTGGGAGAAGGGGGGTGGTGGTGGCCTGAGGGGAGGGATAAGGATGCTGTGGATTAGGCAACAGAGGGTGGGGAAAAGCCCAGATGCAGACTGAGCTGCTGGCAAGACTGGGCAGGAACACAGCAGGGCATGTTTCAGGAAGGACGCTGACTCCCTGCTGCCAAAACTACAGAGACTGAGCCCGGAGAAAATATTTCTTGTTTGTTTGTTAACTGTGGGTGAGAGAGTTGCCGTCACCAGACTTCCCCAAATTGTCAGCCTCTTGGGTTATGTCTGGCTTTGTCTTGGTGCCCTGGACACAGTCCTATTCCCCAGTACAGTTCTTCCTTCCAATTCTGCTACTTAAAGTAAGCTACCCAAAACTCAAAGCACCTCTTCAGAGGTGATTTGATTTGTACAAAGAAGAGCAGGACTGTCTTTTCCCCCAGCCCTGGTTCTGAATCTTGCATATTTCTTTCATGCAGCTCAGGAACATGTTCACTATTTTCTGTCCATTCTTTTGAGTGTCAACCCTGGCTTCCCATCAGATCCCCAGTGAAATATGGTCACATTAGGATATCCGTTCCCCTAGGTTAAAAAGGTCTAATGCCTTAGGTTTCAGGTAGAGCTTGGGGTTCTGTAATTTTAACAAGATCCCTAAATTATTCTAATGCCCAGCCAGGGTTTATAACCCCACCTCTTGAATATCATTCTAGAAGGCAAATACAGACCCAAAACAAAACATACGCCTGTGATATATACCAGAAAAACAATGTGGGGAAGCAAAGAACATCCTTTACCCATCTAAGCCTCAGTTTCGTCATCCGTAAGATGGAGATGCTATTAACTTCCTTGAAGTGTTGTTCCCGTGAAATACTGAGCAGTCTCTGGCACGAGGCAAGCGTGAAACAGATACGAACATTGCCTTTTCTCTGTTCTGGAACATAGCCAAGTACATTTAAGGGTGCCAAATTGCAGCTCAGATCTCTATTGTGCGTGAGAGGTGAGGGCATCAAAGGATGTGGGATTGAAGGATGTGGTTGGCTTCACTGGTTGCTTTCCAGGTTAAAGACACCCTCTTAGTTCCCACTGTCCTCTGGTAACTCAGTAAGTGCTTCTCACTCACAGGTTTCTTACAATTCTTGTTGATGCTCTTTGAAGGTTTAGTCTATGTCACCTAGTAGGTCATTCTCTGAAAGTTTTCAAGAGGAACCCTTTCCATTAGGAATTAGTAGTTGGGAGTTTGGATGCGATAGTTTGGAATCTCTGTGTTTACATTGTCCTCCCTATCACATCTCAGATTTCAACTTTAGACAACTTACCTGGCTTTCTGTGCCTGAGATTTCCTCACTTGTAAAACAAAGAAAACAGTAATGGACTAGGTATCACTTTTGCCTCGTTTCAAATCCTCTTGGCTTCACCTCCTGACTCTTGTCCCATCTGTGTGTGGGGTCAGACCCACTTCACACAGGCACCGCTGGGACCACCCCACCCCCTGCTTCTCACCTCCCATCCCAGGCTTCCCTACAGACTATTGTGGCTCCTGGGAATCTGCAAATGAATTGACTGTCACGGAAGCAGTTCAGGCCCAGGGGATAAATGTTGGCCTAGGGAGACACAAGTCAAGGATATTTATCTCTTTTTCCACCCCTGGGAGAAAGTTCTGAGATATAGATTATACAGATTCCTGGGGAGAAATATGCTTCCATTGATCAAGCAATGAATAGGTCTCCGCCACTCCAAAATATACCCTCATTGTGGCTCTTGCTGCTTTTCTGCTTTGTTTTCTGGAAACTTCACTCTCACTTCCTGGAGTTGTATTCTCGATGAAAGTGACGGTTCATCAAACCTTCCAAGCTCTACATTCTTTTTTTTAACCTTTTATTTATTTATTCAAATTTTATTTTAGATTCTTGGGGTATATGCACACGTTTGCTACCTGAGTATATTGCGTGATGCTGTGATTTAAAGTACAAATTATCCCATCACACAGGTACTGAGCATAGTACCCAATAGTTAGTTTTTCAACCCTTGCCGTCCTTCCTCTCTCCCCTTTCTAGTCATCCCCAGTTTCTACGGTTGCCATCTTTATGCCCTAACTACCCAATATTTAGCTCCCATTTATATGTCAGAATATGTAGTATTTGGTTTCCTGTTCCTGTGTTAATTTGCTGAGGATAATGCCCGCCAACTGCATTCATATCACAGCAAAGGACATGATTTCACTGTTTTTTTTTTTGGCTGTGTAGCAGTCCATGGTGTATATGTACCACATTTGCTTTACCCGGTGCATCATTGATTCCGTGTCTTTGCCATTATGAATGGTGCTGTGATGAACATATGAGTGTATGTGTCTTTTTGGTACAATGATTCCAAACTGTACATTCGTGTGTTAAGATAATTATTTATATCTTAGGGTTGTGAAGATCAAATGAGATAATTCATATAAATATGATAGAAATAGAATTTGATCAATGTGAAATCATCATGATCATCTTTCTCGAGCTGCAAATTATTTGCTGTTACCACCGTCTCCTCAAACCCCTCTCCTTCTACACTAATCTTTTCTGGGATCATCTTACCATTATTTTTAATTATTTGTTCATTTCTGAATTTGGAGAACAAATCTGTACTTGGTGGGTTAGTGGTAAGTATGTCAGCTTTGAGCAGAGATTGAATGGCACTGATCATCCAAACCACCTGGTTATCTTCTGTTAGTCTCTTATTATTTCCTGCGTATTTGTCTGCTCAGAAGATTGTAACTCACTAAGAATAAGGGCCAACATCTCACTCAGATCCCCTATAAGCCAAGTCTCTTAGTCAGGACCAGTAAATACTTGTGTTTGGAGAGTTACGGAGTAATGACCAGGGCTTTAGGAAGATGGTGCTATTTGCAGGGATGGCTGAAAGCCTAATGAGATGGAAAGTGGATGAAAACCTTGAGGCTCATGACCAGCTCACAAGCTTGGGGGTCATAATACATAAAGGAATAAGAACTTCTGTAATCCTCCAACCCCTGCACTGGATGGACAAGATTCTTCCTTGAAAGAAAAGACCACACTGGGTCCAGAAACAATAGTTTGGGGTTGGTGCGGTGGCACTCAGACTGACTTCGTGTCCAAACCACATAGTGGGAGTCTGAAAGTCTCTATGAGGAAACAAAATCAAACAAAAGCATAACATTACAACATCTTCTCAGTAAGATGCAGAGAACACAAGGCAAAGAAGAAAAGGTGTTTCCCTCTCAGGTTTGATGACTATGAGGACAGACTGAAAGAAGGCCTACCTCAGCCTTCTGCATATTCCCAGAGCTGGACTCAGTAAATGCTGTGAAGGAATCTGTTGACTACTAGGATGAGATGATGAAGCCAGAGTCTCACATATCCAGTGAACAAGAAAATGGGCAATATTAAGAAATATATAAGGAGACATTTGCATGAATCAGCTACAGTTTCTTGTCCTCATTATGTGCAAGATTTAAGGTCCATGAATGAACATTTTCATGAGGCAGTCATACTTCATACTTAAATCTAGCCCATTACACCCCAAGGTCCCTTTTGTCACATAGGCACATAAACACCCATAAATCTGCCTTATCCTTCCAGTTACAAATTGTCTCTTCCCTCAGTTGTATCTATCCACACAAACAGGAGCAGTGTGTCCTTCTTTAGATCACACTTTATCTTTCTTTCTTGCTGTCTTCTGTTTCCAGCATGGAGAACTGTGTTCCCTCTGGACTTCTCATTCTCAAGTGACATTTTATGTTTTCTATAAAAGCCAGTGAGAACCCTGTTATTTGTTTGATCCATATTAGGGCCCTTGTATTTTGGAGACAGACAAACTTTGTAAGAATTAATCTTTTAGGAAGAAGGTATCAAATTAAGGGTATCTCACAACCCAGGACAACCTTCACCATGGTGATGTCTCCATCATCCTGTCAGTGCTACTCCAGAGCTTTTATGGTACTTTTCATTTTAGCACTCTCTCCTTGAATATCCCAGGCGGGGAAATAGAGAAGTCATGATTATTCTCACAATTTATAGAGTATAGTCCCATCTTTTCAACAATATGCTTAACCACACTAAGTCTCAAATACCCAGTAACACTTTGTGTCCTTCCCAATGACAGCACTTAGATAAGAGAGTCCAGGTTTAAATACATATCAAGAACTCTTGCTGAAATGCGACAAAATTTATAAGGTATGAAATGGCTTCTAAAAATTATGTGAATGTGAGATACTAAGCTTCCCACTTTGCTGATGATATAAGGCTTTGGGGTCTGATTAAGTATGCAGAAGTTCTTCTGGGCACCAGATGGTATTGCATTTGTCTTCTCCCCTTCCAGACTGTCATTCCCACTCATTGTACTCTAGACTGGTCCGAATATATGAGACTGTGAATAAGAGACTTCTCTATAAGAAGGAATACATTGAGAACTTAACAAATGACTCCCAGAATATTGATAAACCTAGATCTGGTACATAAGACAACTCTAGGGCAGGCAAATCCTTTAGGGATAAGGCAGACACTGAAATACAAGCAGCATGAGAGCATCAGGCAGTCAGAGAAAAAATTTCCATGTAGCAGGAAGTCAGGAAAGGGCTGGAAAGATCTTCGCTAACTTTGCAATGTTGCCAAGGACCAGTCTGAGTCCTAGTGATCAAGCCCATAAAATGCAGGCATAAAATAGAAACAAAGACAGCTGGCCCTTCAAGTATATCCTGTTTCATTATTTAAAGGCTTATTAAGTGTATAGATCATGGAACCCATGTTTCAGATTTCAAGTGAGACCTGAGTCAATATATTAAGACACAACATTAAGGTAAAGAACTGCAAGCTTTATTGAATACTAAATATCTTTTATGGTGGGATGTCTTTATAAAACTAACTCTCCTGCCCAAATCGTTATTTCAACATTTGGGAGATACTGAATGAAATATGAACAAGTTAAGCCTTGTTCATAACAGGTAGTGGCTTCCAAACAGGCAAGTTACCCACTTACTGGACATCTTATATCCAAATAAGAGGGAGATAATATGGGCTAAAATAAAACAGACTTAGAGATGAAAAGTGAACACCCAAGCCCAGTTCTTGGCAAAACAATTGGACCTTCATCCTTACTTTGAAGTCTGTTCCTTACTTGCTACTTTATTCCTTAATGTATTCATTCTGTCATCCTTAAGTTCTTCTCCTACATCTCTCCTCACTCATGAACTTTTGATTTGATGACTAGACAGGACTTGTCAGGTCTTGATTACAGTTATCCCTTGAATAATATCGGGGTTAGGGGCACTAAAACCCTGTGCATTCAAAATCTGAGTACAACTTTTGACTCCCCAAAAACTTAACTACGAGTAGCCTATCCCTGACTGGAAAGCTTATCAATAACATAAACAGTCTATTGACATATATTTGTGCGTTATATGTATTACATACTATATTCTTACAATAAAACAAGCTAAAGAAATGTGTTATTAAGAAAATCATAAGGAAGTAAAACATATTTACTATTTGTTAAGTGAAAGTGGAACAACATGAAGGTTTTCATTCTTGTCATCTTCATGTCAGGTAGGCTGAAGAGGAGGAGGAAGAGGAGGGGTTGCTCTTGCTATTTCAGGGATGGTAGAAACAGAAGAAAATCCACGTATAGGTGGACCCATGCAGTTCACACCTGCATTGTTCAAGGGTTAACTGTATTTGTACTGATTTGCCCTTGTTCTTAGATGCTTAAGTTTCCAGTCACTCTAGAAGAGTTGACCAGTCTGACTAATCTAGCTCTGGTCTCTAACATCAATCCATAGCAATGACCACATTCTTCAGAACTCCACTGGGTTTGCTACTACTACAGAAAGTCAGAAAAGCAAGGCCTTTCTGTATTTGGACTGATATTGCCTCTTTATGATTATTCTTTCCATGAAATTACTTTTATAGTATTAATTTGATTCAACAGAAGAGATGCTCATTCAAGAAACAGCAAATCTGTATTCTGGTCTGAGTCTTTCCAACAAATTCTTCTGATATGATTACTTAACCACATGGAGCCTCAACTACCCAATCATAGTCCTAACTACCTCACAGAACTGCTTACTGAAGAAAAACAAAACAAAGATTAAAGAAAGAGACAGACACAGAGACATAAATAACAGTGGTTACAGAATTTCAAGTATAAGATAAATTCAGTGTCTTAAGTTTTCCAATCAGCCCCAAATAGACAGAAACCAGTGCAGAAGTCATCCAAACTTCTTGCTAAGCATTCATCAAACCTGCTGTATTTGCAAAAAGCATCTTCAGAGAAGGCAAATTGGGTCAGTGAAAAAAGGCTGATCAATCAACATTTAAAGGACCAGAGAGTGAAGGCAGAATGAGGTCATACACAGCGTGCTCTTCCATGTGAGGCTTCTCTAGTAGGCAGGGAAGCCATCCATGGTTTGGTAGATTGTTCATTGCCTAAAGGTATCTGTACACGCAGATGGGTCAGGGCAAAACTCCATCTGTTTCCTGCTCTGCTATGCTTGTGTCCTGGCACGCAACTATGTCTTTCTGTGCAGGTAAGAGGTAACCCACCCTAAGACTATGTTAATATGAGTTAATATAAACTGAGAAGGCCTGAGACTGCTATCCATATAAAGGTCTGCTTGCAAAGTTGGTCCTTGGCTAGGTCTGGAAAGTGGGATTTGAAGAGAGTTCCCACCATTCCCTGATAAGAATGGCTCCTCGTGCCTTGCCTGTTTATGCAAACCATATGGTCTATGCTGAACACTTCAGGATGTCTGGAATTTGGTACATGGAGAAGTTGCCTAGGTGAGCAGCCCCTTATAGAAACTCTAGGCACTGAGACTCCAATTAGACTCCTTGGAAGGCATTTATGTGTTGTCACAACTCCTTGCTGAAGAAATTAAGCAATCCTGTGTGACCCCACCGGAGGATGACTCTAGGAAGCTTACACCCAGTTTCCTCCAAACTTTGCCCCATGTACCTTTCCCTTTGTTAATTCTGCTTTCTATATTTTTGCTGTAACAAATTGTAGCTATATATATGACTACAAGATGAGTCCTGTGAGCCTTTCTAGCAAATCATCAAATCTGGTGGGTGATCTGGGGACCCACAACACTCCTTCTTTTTTACACTTAGAGGGCATTTGCCCACCAACCTGCCTTCCATGGTGCCATGTCTGGCTACAGGTGCTGTTTTTACACAAAGCTATCATAAGTATTTACTGGGACTTTGCCAGGAAAAGAGGAGGATGTAGAAAAGTACCCAAGTTTACCGCCCCATCCTCCACATCCTTTACTGGATAAAGAAAATCATTAGTCATTTTCACTTTCCTTACTGGAGCCAGGGTGAAAACTTCCCAGGTCAACATTAACTCTGCAGAGTCAATAAGGAATGGTGGGAGGTCAGGACCACCAACATTTGCAAATGCCCTCCTATGTCTTAGGTACTATGTTTGGAGTTTTACATACATATCTGAATGCATCCTCAGAATAGGAGAACAAAAGTAATCCCGACGTTATGGTTTAAGAACCTAAAACGCAGACAAGTTGAGTAATTTTCCCATGATCACATAATAGATGGTGAATCATGAGTTGCAATGCTGCCTATCTGATGTCAAATTTCATTTATTTTCATTATATCATATCATTCTCACTTCCAAGTTTTCAGCCTCCATTTTTTTCGTATGAAAATTGAACCTATTTATCTCTCAGTGTTGTTATTAAAATGAGATATGCATGTTAAGTATGTAATATAGAGTCTGGCATGTAGTAAATTGAAACAAGTGGAAATCATTTTTATTATTACAATGACTATGATTATACTTACAATGGGGACTTTTCTGGCTCAGACCCATTGTGCCTGCTTAGTCCAGGGCCCCAGGAACTGGGGATGGCAAGACAGACAATGAGGACTGTCTAGCATGTAGTCTTCTGACATTTTTTCCGCCATGTTTACAATACAGCACACTACTAATTATGTATCCCATTACATATACATCAGATTACTGTTGAAAGTTCGACCTGAATCAACTCCAAACTCAAATTTATACACTGCTAAATATCTCATATTGTTTCTGAAGTGCCACACAAGTCTGCTTCAAACGTAAAAGCAAACAACAATAATAAAAACCACCCAGTTGTTGTCTGGAGTAGGCAGGTTTGTGTTTCCCAGGCACATAGGGACTTATGACATCACTTTATAAATTATTCTCACGTACACCACTCTCTACTCATGAAATTGAAGAATACACTCTCCCTTATGTGTGTAAAAGTGAAAGTTGCCCTTGCCTTCTGGTGTTAACAGTTCAAAGCATATCCTGAGTACTGATTTTGTTCAGATCAGCCTACTGGACACTTGTGGTGACACAAAGATTAATTCACAGATATAGGTTGAGAGCCCACTTCATACTAAATAGGACTTAGCATGGAATCTCTCTGGCCCAGACTCAGACTACATAAATATGAGCTGGGATGATGATGATAATAATAGTGATGGTAGTGATTGTGTCCAAATATTTAAAGCAATTTATATTCCAATATTGGAAAGAGCTTAGTTTCTAAGGTTATATACTATATTTTATAATGTAATAAATGCTACACACAAATTCACACATGCACACACACACACACACACATTAACAAGTATTACATACAGGAATAGAATTGAGCCCTCTCTACCTCTAACTTCCTAGAAAAACCTTTATATACTTTGATTTCATGAATTTACATTAGGTGTACTGAACCTGTACCATCATTTTTTTCTTTTGGAAAATTCAACTTTCATGGCTCTATGTGTATTAACTGCCACAAAAAATACCATTGGTATTTTCCTATGAAAATATACTTAATATTTTATATGATTACTTTTAAGCCCCTTATTAATAAATTCAAACCAAATAACACAAGAAACTATCCTTAAAAATAAATATAGCCCATTCTGTTTCCATAGGTATGTATTATTGCTATTGATTTTCTAGTCATCTACTTTTAAAGCTGGTTTGAAAATGATTTTTAAGTGTGCAATCTCATTTATTAAAGCCTTGAAAGTTGATTACTTTAATTTTCCCCCAATCAACAAGATAACCCTTAATTTTAAGGTCTGCATTAGTGGCACTCCCAACTATGAAGTAATGACACCATTTATTTACATTAGAATCAACATGACTTCAGAACTTAATGCCCTCATCAATTTTCCAAATAAAACTGCAGCTGTAGTGTGGAACAGGTGAAACGAGGTCTGTATTTCTCAGATGTAACATAGCCAAGAGCTTAACCCAAGCTTCACGAAGTTTCAAAGCAATAAAGCCAAAGTTATTTCAGCCCTGCAGCATACTTATTTCAAGAGATGAATGTTATTGGCTGTCTTTCAATGTACTGCTTATACTATCATTAAAACTTGAAATGGAATCCCAGAGTGTTGTATCTGTGAAACACCATATACTTATAAGACCTCCCTCCCCAATCCCTTTAAAACAGAAGAAAAAAACACAACTGTAAAGCCACATCCAAGATTCTATGATCTCTATATAACTCTATCTCCATTCTCATTCCTTACAGAAAGAACATGAGATTGAGAGATTATGGAATAAGAAATAGATGTAAGAAATAGATATATGTGAGAAGATCTTTGGTCTAGAATCAGAAAGCAAAGGTTGTTCATTAGAGGACTTGGTGGCACCTACACAATTGTAAAATTAACAGCATAAAATAATACACTAACCAGTCTCTAAACTCGATGAAGAACCATGGATGTGCCCACCCATTACAACGTCATTAGAGTGCCAAGCATGTATCAGCTATCTAGTAAATACTGAATAAGATGTTATACAAAATCACCTTGCTCTCTTTGTGGCGATTCAATAGTCTGAAAAAGTTTCTAACAGGCTTTACATAGGAAATGTGAGTCGTTTGCTACAGCACAGCCTTCTAAGGTAAGTTGGGAGAGAAATAGAAAAGCATCTCACCTTTGTTTATGTGTCTGTCTTTGGCATCAACTCTTTTAAAGTGTTCCTGTTTCTTCTTCCTCTCTTTCTTAACTTCTAAACACAGGTTCAACAAATTCTGTCAAAATAGCCTTTACTCAATGCAGCACTACTCTTTTAACCTATCACTCTCAGTTTAAGTGAGATAAAACAGTTCAAATCCAAATATTCAGGCATCATTGCTTTTCATGATCATGTGTAATCGTATTTTTCTATTCCAATGCATAAGAGCTGAGGTTTCTATTCTACACCAACTTAGGCTAGAAATATTATTACTGGGACATTAAACACTAAATTAGAATAAATTAATGATGCCAAGGCATATCAAAATTGCTTGTAGCTGTGTCAAGTCAAATCACAGCAATATTTATATCATGGTTCCAATGATAATAAAGTACCTTGATTTCTTTCATAACCAAGAGAAAAAAATTGCCATTGGAAACAAGCCCAGAGAAATCACATATATTTGAATTAATAGAGAAGGACTTTAAACCAGCTGTTATAAATATGTTCAATGATTTTGGAAAGGATGGATATTATAATGAGTGAACGAATAGAAATTCTCATCAAATGAATGGAATCCATAAAAATGAACCAAATGGAAAATCTTGAATTAAAAAGTATAATATCTGAAATGTAAAATTATCTTATGGGCTTAACAGAAAATGGGATATTACAGAAGAAACAATCAGTAAGCTTCAATACACAGAAATAAAAATTATAAAATCAGTACAGAGAGGGAAAAAAGTTTTTAAACATTAACAGAATCTAAGTGACCCCTGGGTCACTTCGTGGTTTAACATCTGTGTAACTGGAATCTCAGAAGGAAGACAAAGAGATTGGCAGAGAAATAAATATCCAAAGATATGGTGGCTTAAAACTTTCCAAATCTGATCTGGGAAAAAAAAATTGATCCCTAGAGGAAGCTCAATGAATCCCAAACAGAATACACATTAAAAAAATAGACCCTAGATACATAATAGTCATATTTCTAAAAACAAAAGACAAATTTATAAAAATATTTGAAGCAATTCAATGGAGAAAGAAAAATACTTCAAATATTACACTGAAACATGTTAATATTAATATAGAAAAAAATCATGAACTACACTGAATTCTAGCCACAAACAATAATTAAATCTATATGAATACCCGCTCTAAACATAAAAGCTGACTATAAAGTTTATTGGGAAAACAAAATAATACATAAGGAACTATCTACATGGCTTGGGCATGTGATGATTTCTTATACAGTGAAACTTATACAAGGTGTACGTTCACAGAAATTTTATTCAAAATAGCGCAAAACTAGAAACAACAAAAATGTCCATAAACAAGTGGATAGATTTTAAAACAAACAAAAAAAATATGGTATACTTAGTATATTTAAACCCAGCAATGAAAAAAAGGGCAAACGATCAGTGCCCCAAACCACAGGGATAAATTTAAAAAGTAGTATATTCAAACAAGCCAGAAACAAACAAGTATGTACTATATCACTCCAAAAAACCTAGAGTAGAAAAAACTAATCTATGGTTATAGAAATAAACAGTAGTTGCCCCCACAGGTGGTGGTAGAATGAGTGACCTGCAAAGGAAAATGAAGGCACTTTTTAAAGTAATAGAAATAGAATATAGCCTCAAAGGTTGTGAATTAAATGTGTATAAGCTTTTGTCAAAACCCACAGAAATGTAAAATATCTGCACATTTCATTGCATGCATATTTTTAAAAGGGAAAAAATTACAAACCTACTTCATTCTCTTCTTTAGATTATCTTTTTGACTTCCTCGTTTTTCTTGATAACAGTTTTATTCTCAGTCAAAACATAACTAACAAGTTATGTATACACCTGTAACCTCCTCCTCCAATATGTAACAATTGTCCAGATTCAAATAATATAGTAATTGCCACCATTATTGAATACTTAGGTCAAGCAAACGCAGAACTCTTTTCATCCAATTATTGACTTATGATCTCATTTATTCTACATAATGACCCATTGGCTTCCATTCTCTTATCCACCGGGAGGAAACTAAGATTTCGAGAAGTCAGGCCACACATAAAATTAATTGAGAAGCAGGATTTGAATGTATATCTGCCCCTCCTAATTATACCAACAGTGTTTATTTAAAAATTTCCCTCAAGAGTCTCCCACTTTGCAGCACTTCCTTCTACCAAATTCTCCCAGATTCTGCCCCCAATGAAGCTAACAAATGATCTAATAACCAGCTAAGACCATCAATGATCTCCATGTTATTATAACTAATATTTACTGTCCAGTTCACATCTTATTTGACCTCTTGTTTTCATTTTAACACTATTGGTGCTTCTGACCTAGAGCATATTCTCTCTACTTGCCACTGCCAAGTATTTCCCTGGTTTCCCTCCTTCCTGTCAGGCACTCCTCCTCAAGTTCACTTGAATACCAACCCAAGCTTATTCAGTTATTAAGTGTTGGCATTCTTTGAAACGCAGTTATAGACACTGTGCTCCTTCTACTTCCTGCTACCTCTGCCTAGATGATCTTAGACACACTTTGGACAACAAGCAAAATAGTTAGCAGCAGTTTGCACTCTATCTTCTCCCTCTCTCCATCCTCTTTCCCAACCTAAAAAATTATTCATTCACCTTCTTAAGGCACAGTTTGATCATTACATTTCTCAAAAATCTCCACCTCCCTGCCACCACTGCCAGCCAAATGAAATTCAGTCTCCTTCTCTTGATATTAAAACAAGTTTCTCTAAAATGTAGAACAAGTTAGCCACTTTAGCCCTGTATCATATTGCCCCTTTTTATATCCTCTATGATGCAATCACACAGGATTATGTGCTTTCCTGCCACCCTTTTCATATTATGCCATTGCTTGTGCTGTTTCTTCCAACTAGGAAATGTGGCCTCTGCTCCCAATTTTTAATAATTCCAGTTTCATTTACCTTTGGAAGAGCAGAGCAACAGAACATGTCTCCCTTAAAACTTCTCTTAATCCCCAAAGTCAAAAGTACCATTTTCCTTCTACAAACTCCCAGATTATTGTACTGCATACAAAGATATTGGTGTGGTCAAAAATGATGGTGGGAGTTGAAATGGAAAGGAGAATCAAGGATCAAGTTTCAGAGTTTTCTGTGACACTGGTAGCAACTAGGATATAGGCAAGTGACAAAGACATTGAGTGGAAAAGTGGAATAACATAAGTGCCATGAATTTCAAAAGGAGGCAAAGATACCATCTGGTATCTTTGAGACTACAAACACTTTTCTCTACCTTGAAAGGGCAGGAGAATTGACATTGTAGTAGGAAGGAGTCAAGGAAAGTGGGATTCATGGAGGAGAGCCAAATTTCCATCACCTAAGTGACTGAAACGTTGAACAAAATTTTATCTAGACAGATGGAAGATCTTTACCATTTTAAAATATAGCCGCAGCCTTCATTTCTAATGTCTAATATCAACTGAGATAAAAAGAGATCTACTGAATATGTCATTGCCAGTAAAACACAAAGTATAATAAAAAACACTGTTTTTCTTGATAAACAATTTGATGTCCTATATTTACTCTGAGCATGACTTGTTCTGATTATTTCTCTGCTTAAAATTCCTTGAATGGGTCTTTGTAACTTACATGGAAAAATCCAAACTTGTAAGACTGAATTATGTTTATTGTCTGTCCCCAGTCACTTTCTATCCTTATTCCCACCATTCCCCTATGTATCTGTTATGGCCCAACAGTACCAAATTACTCTTCTTGGTTTTTTGTCTGCATTATTTCACCAGTAGGTGACACTGCCCATGCCTCTCTCTTTTGCTGGAATGCCATTGTCTTTACTCTTTTCTGCCTGGCCACCAGTGAGCATCCTGAAGCACCATAATGTACTAAGTCTTTCTCTGATCTGAGCCACCTTTAGTTAAGTGGTAAACACTTATTATACCTGTACTGCCCTGTAGGACATTCATCTGTTCATCTTTCTGACTTGTCTACTAGAATCTAACCTCCTTATAATTTGGCTCCACTTTTTCATTCTGTGACCCCAGTAACTAGGACAATGGCTACATATAACAAGTGCTCAATAAGTATTTGCAGAATTTCATTGAAATAATATGGCTTAAATGTGCAAGAGAAGGATAATGTAACAACAGCAGAGTGGAGTTAAAAGGCCCAGATTGGTAGTTTGGCATATTTGTACCAAATCATGACTTACTGATTTTGTAACTTTGGGAAAGTTACTTTACTTCTCTCTGCCTCAGTTTTATCATTAGGAAAAAAAAATGGAGTAACAATACTATGCAGGATAACTGGAAAGAGATGTGATGATTTACACAAATGCATAGCATAGTTCCTGACATACAGTACTCAATGAGCAATGGCTAGTATTTGTATGACTACAAAGTGAACACCGAAAAATGGAAAAATATAGTTAAAATGATGCATTATATACTCATGGGTAAAGACATCTATGCATTTATCTTATCACTGAACTTCCCAGGTACATGCATGTATGTTACTTCTGGTTATTACAGATTTAGTGGCTATGAAATCCTCTAGAAATCTAGAATAAAGGAAACCTGGCTTTTTGCTTTTCGAAGACCCTCAGAATTTCCATTTCCTTTAGACATCAGAGGGTGAAGATGGCTGTAATGTCACCATGAATATATATAGGGACGAGAGGTCTTGCTATGGAACAGCTTGTAGGAGGGAGGAGAGACAAATATGTAATACATATAAAAATAAATAATTCATGTAAATGGGCCCAATGAGCAGAAGCAATTCCTCCACAATTTTCAAGAAATAGCTCAGGGAGAAAGCAAGAGCTAAAAAAGTTGCATATTTTCAAATTGAATTTGATTCACAAGTAATTTTTAAATGTGTGCTCCAAAAATTCAGGTGAAATTAGGCAACTCAGGAGATTTTTTCTGAAGAGCTGGTAGTGGAGCTCCTCTTAGCTTCCTAAAAAGGCATCAAAATACCGAGGAGCTTCATCCTCAAATGACATCTCTGAATTGATTTCCTGCTAATAGCAACCATTGGCAAACCACTGTGGGATTACAAATCACTGACTACATCTCCTCTTATCAAAATCTGGTTGAAAGTAAAGATAATGATCCAGGATTGTGTTGAGGACATTCAGGTCATCCATTGCTCCAGGTGCCTGAAGTAGTATACTTGGCTCTTCCTGGGTCACTGAAAAGCTCTTTGTTTAGGCCACAATGGTCTCTGCTCTCTATAGAATTGCTTTCATTGAAATTCATCTGGGAGATATGCCCCACTGTCCAGGAACCATGTCATCTGTGACTGTTTGAAGGGTCACTGTATGAATGTCTTATGCTTTCCCATCCTCCACCTCAGACTATATGGGTTGGCTTTTTACCATGTGTGATGACAAAAATATTACAAAACATGAAAACTATGTGTCATTAAAATAAGGAAAATTGATCAGACAGAATACAATAACAGCGAGACTACTTTTCTTGAGGTGCAGAAAGTGTCTTGTTGGCTTTATAGGCATGGACCTTCCAAACCCTTCTTTTCTACAATTTCTGGGCCACTCTGCATATTTCAGAGACAACCATCCTCACAAAGTATAATTGATGATGGGTCTTTGGTCAGTTTTCTGCTGACTGGAAACAGATTTCCAGTTGAAGTGGGGTGGTGGGTAGGCGATGTACTCCTCAGAAAGCTCCTTATGCATCTTTTTTTTGTTGTTGTTTTAATTTCTGCAATTTCAAATAGGCTCCCTTGTTTCTCAATATGTGGTCTGTGTGTACGTTGTCTGTTGCTTGCTTATCTAACCACCAGCAAGAGTGGTGAATTCAAACTGGAGACGGGACTTTAGGTAGAGTGAAAACTAAAATTTGATACATGTCAGGGAAAAACAAATAACATTTAGAAGCATTCTTTTCCCCTATGACCAGATGTATTAATTACAAAAGCCCAGAGAGGCCAACATGTTTTTTTACAAGAAAGCATAGAACAAACACCAAGAGAGAATAATCTGGAAGGAGAGAACATGCAGGAAGATCCAGTGGGGGCTGGGGGAGACAGAGAGAGACAGTCAGACAGACTAATGGAAGGAACATGAGAGAAAGACCGAGAAGCACCACAGAGACAGGAAAGGTAAGCAGAGTCAGAGAGCAAATGGAGAAAGAACCCAGGTTAAGTCAGCAGGTGGTTAGGAAAATGGAAGATAGCAACAATGAATTTATAGAAAATTCAGCTGAGTTATCTCTCAATATAATTCACTCCTCTGTATCCCCACCAAAGGCTTTCAATAAAGACTGTCCTTCAATCTTTTTGCAGTCAGATTTGTATCCCCTGCTTCTTTTGACCTCTCCCCAAGAGGATATATATATGTGCATATAAATATATATGAGATATATATGTATATATATGAGATATATATGTATATATGTATACATAATATATGTATATATAATATATACTTCCTTTTACACATATATGTGTGTGTATATATAATATATATGTATATATAATATATAATAAACTCCCTTTTACATATGTATGTGTTCACATATAAGCTCCCTTTTACATATATGTATTCACATATATGTAAAAGGGAGTTTATATATACACATATATATATATATGTAAAAGGGAGTTTATTAAGTATTAACTTACATGATCACAAGATCCCACAATAGGCTGTCTGCAAGCTTAAGGAGCAAGGAGAGCCAGTCCGAGTCTCAAAACTGAAAAACTTGGAGTCTGATGTTCTAGGGCAGGAATTCTCTAGCACAGGAGAAAGATGTATGCTGGGAGGCTAGAACAGTCTCCCCTTTTCACATTTTTCTGCCTGCTTTATATTCCTTGGCAGCTGATTAGATGGTGCCCACCCAGTTAAGGGTGGGTCTGCCTTTCCCAGCCCACTGACTCAAATGTTAATCTCCTTTGACAACGCCCTCATAGACACACCCAGGATCAATACTTTGTATCCTTCAATCCAATCAAGTTGACACTCAGTATTAACCATCACAGTAGCTCAGCAGGCCTGACACATTGAGGACTCACTTTCTGCTTTTTCACAACTCCAGTGAGAAAGATCACAACCGCAGCAAACAGCAGTGAGGCAAAGGCACTTTGGGTGTCCTAGGCTGATTCTTGTTGCAAGTGGGCATGCTATAAAGTAAGGAAGGAAGGGAGCTTGGAGAGGAGACCAAATGCATCCCCATTGCTTTCTTCACTTCTCCCCGCCAATCCCCCACACAAAGCAAGGCTTCCTCTGGCTCTGGTGCTGGAAAGCTAGACCCGTTTGCTAGGCTACAGCAAAAGACAATGGATGTGAACCCTACATCTATCACAACATCACATTGTATCCCCATAAATAGATACAATTATTATTTGTCAATTAAAAATAAAATAAAATTTAAAAAATATTTTTAAAAGACCGACTGCGATGAATATTAGAAAGTAGAGACAGAATGAAATTTGGAGGGAGATTTGCGGGGATTTAGAAGTTCTAAAGTGAGGAAATCAGCTTCAGAGACACGCGTTAGTGCATTTACCTCAAGGGACCCTATGGCAGTCCTCAGGTCTACATCTTATTTCACAGCTCTTCGTGGAGCATCCTATGCAAAGCTGCTCTTAGCACTCAGTGAATAAAAGCAGTGGAGCTGGTCAAGGCTCCTTCCCTTTGACTTCCAAGCCCAGTCTATTAATTGCGTGGCTCTGCTGTTCCATTGGTAGAGTTCCTTACAGTTTCTATATTACCGTTCTAATTTTCTTCTCATGCTGCAGCCTTCTTCTTATGATTCATTTTTTTCTTGTTCCTAAACTTTCGTCCTTTTACTGTCCTTTTAAACTTATTTGATTTTGCGGTAGGCTGCCTCCAGTGGTTTGGGGAATGAAGTTGGGGTGAATAAATGTTTAACTGTTGATAAAAGTCTCATTACTAAAAGAAACATGAGAGAAAAAGCATTTTTTTGTTTTGTTTTGTATTATCTGGAAGAGATTAAGATCTAATATAGGTTGTAGAACACAAATGAAATTCTAAATAAACCAATCACAAAAAGACCAACAACACATAGCGGTTTACAGAAAGAGGCAGTATTATATACCAGTTATGAACATGAATTCTAGAGACTGGTGTACCTTCAAGACACATAAACATTTAAGGTATATGGTAAAAGTGTTCACCATAAAAGTAGTAGATGAGAGTATATATTTTTGTGAACCTTCAATTTGATATACTCATTAGAATATATATAAGAATATCTCATTGTTGTTTTAATTTCAATGTATTTGATTATTTTTCAGCATGAACATGTTTTCAAGCGTTTTGAGGGTTTTTTTTTCAGGGGGAAGAGTTATTTATTTTGTTTTGTTGCTATTTTCCTTTCTTTTGATGAGAGCTTTTTTTATATGGTTTGTTTCAATTCTGTTCATAATGCCTGCATCATTCCTCAGCTCTACAAGCATATTCCTCATGAAATCCCAAAACTGGGAAACATAGCTCTATTAACACTAAAGACTTAACTCAGTATTTTCAAATTAAAATCTCAATGCTGGTTTTTTTGACTTTCATTCCATCACCTAAATATCAAAGTTGTCTAGAAATGCTGACCTCCCTCAAATAAATTCATGTGACCAAGCAATTGTCCCAGATGCCATATCTCTTTATAAAAACTGAAGGGAAAAGTTTACCATCAAACAGGAAGTAGCAGGTGTCTGGGGTATAGGCAGTGAAATAATCGCCTCAAATCATAATCTAGAAAGTTTCCCAGAAACTTTCTGCTGCTTACATTCTTCTCTGTCCTCAGAAGTCACAAGTCCTCCAACTCTAATTTCAATCTTGTAGAAAGAAAGCAAAGAGCTGTCACACTTTCGAAAGAAACTCCATTTAATTATAAAAGCTCAGCATATGTTTGAGCTACATACAGCCTAAATTAAAATAAACTAAATTTTCCATCGACTCTCTAAGTTTCTCAACACTGTCTGCATGCATCACTATTGTCATTGAGGGTAGTATGTTTCAAGTCTCTAGTATCACTTTTCCTAATAACATCAAATATTATTTGATTTTTCTTCCTAAATTTGTAACTGTAATGATGTTTTGGTTAACAACTTCACTTTGGATGTAGCTGTATAAAGTCAACATAGAATAGGAAGAGGTTGGCCAGGTGCAGTGGCTCACCCCTGTAGCACTTTGGGAGGCCAAGGTGGGCAGATCATGAGGTCAGGAGTTCGAGACCAGCCTGACCAACATGGTGAAACCCTGTCTCTACTAAAAATACAAAAATTAGCCAGACGTGTTGGCACACACCTGTAATCCCAGGTACTCAGGAGGCTAAGGCAGGAGAATCACTTGAACCAGGAAGGCAGAGGTTGCAGTGAGCCAAGATTGCACCACTGCTCTCCAGCCTGGGTGACAGAGCAAGACTCCATCTCAAAAAAAAAAAAAAAAAATAGGAAGAGGTTGGGTACATTCTGAGCCTTCTAAATCTGGATGGCTGGGTGGAAAAACTCTCACTTATTTGGGATTTGACCTTTGCTAATGGGAGGATCAAATTAGAAAAAGACAGTAAAGAGAAAGCACAAAGATGCTGACCAAAGACAAATAAGAGGACCAACATCAGCGTTGATGGACCAGTCTGGCCTTCCCACCCATGACTTTGCTTTACTACTGTCTGTGCTCCATACTACTGCTAGAGTCATTGCTTCAAAATGCAAATGCATTATCTTGCTTTTAAAACTTCTGAAAGGCTGTCAGTCTCAAACAAGATGAAAGTCTCACACCTCAGTTTGACCTAGAAGGTTCATTGTCAATCTGGCTTCTGCAGACCTTACCCCATTCGAATGCTAAGAGATGAGGGAAGGTTTTAAGTGGGCTGTGATACCTTCTGCCACTAACCCTTCTCCCTGCTCTGCATGGGATGTCCCCTCACTACACCTCCCAGTGTTGCCTGGCTGGCTCCTATTCAGGATTTATTTCCTGATTTTCCCCAAATACAGACGACTATTTTTTCCTCATGCTTCATTCCACCTTTATCACCAATCACATATCCAGTGTTGTGCTAGAGATGGCCCTTATAGGCTCACAAGAGCCACTCCTTACATTTTAGTGAATTTCAAAAGCTAATTGTTAAATACAGCCATTATTTAAAAGTAAACTCTATGAAATTACAGTTAAATTGTATTAAAGATAAATTTAATAAATGCTCAAAACTCCTTACTCCCTAATTAGCTTATTACATTTTACTATTATATATGCCTTTGAAGTTACTTGTTTCTATTTTATTTGTGTGGTGGGAATACTAAAATAATGAGGTACTGTACTATGCCTCTCTTTCCAACTCCTTATTCAGTATCATTCCATTAGCAGCTTGCAATTGTTCATGATGGGAGTATTTATACCATTGAAACTGACAAACATTACAAAGCAGAACTTGATTACTGTTATATTGTTAGTATAGACTTAAGAAAGTGATTGAGAAAATGTTAACACTTCACATTAAACTTAACATGTATTGTGCCTTTAGCTGTTACATTGTGAATAACACAAAAAATCCAGAAAATGCTTTGCAGTATTTAGAAATTATTACCCAATTAAGAAAAGCAATTGCTCATGTCATTGATGAATGAGTGAAGATCTGATTCATATTAATTGCTTCCCTTTCATCTTACTTGTTAGCATAGTGTTAACATACACAAAAACATAAACTATCATTCATTTTTAGACTACACTCATTCCTCAATTGCAACCATCAGTTGGCTACAGATATAAGATTTCAGTAAAATTGATGAAAGCATACTTTGAGGAGCAATTCATTATATAAAACTTACAATAAGGAGGATTCTATTTTTATTTGTGTTTGTAAATTGTGCTGCAATTATTTATAATAATATTTATAATAAACATATGCACATATATATGCACATACATTTTTTTCTTAGAAAACTGGTTGATAAACATTTACCAGTACACTACTACATGGTATGTGTCTTTCACAAGATAGTGAAAGTTTTTTTTAAAGAATTAGGGTCATATCTGAATCATCATTAGATCTCCAGCATCTATTTTATCCCCAGTAGATATACTTGATAAATGCTTGCTGGCTTGAGTAAAAACAAAGACTGTATTTCCAACTATTAATATTTAGGCATGGAGGGCCTCTGCAACCACCAAGAGGTTGGAGTTTTTCTCATCTTGGCCAGGGTAACTAGAGAACAATACATAGTTTTGGGAAAAGAGAAAGAGACAGTATCTGGTTAAGGTAATAATGTTCCAGAATATATACCTATTTCTCCTTTATTAATTTTTGAATGAAAAATTTGGTAACCAGAAGATAATTATTCAATGTATTATCTTGGTATGTATAGTTAGTGCTGACTTAAGAAAATATTTGAAATGGTTTTTAGAGTCTGTAGCAGACACACTTATAACCACCCTCAAGCATGCTTTCTACTCACTCCTCGTATCCACTAATGTGTATTCTTGTATATGCTTACCATGAGCACTTTTTTATGGAAAAGGAGCTCAAAACACATGCATGACAAAAACATAATCAATGACATTACAGAAAGGTGTACAATATTCCCTGTAATAGCAGAATTCACGTTATATCTGTTTGTCTTCATTTGGTTTAGGATAGAAAAGAGAAACCACGTGATATTTTCAGCAGGAAGGGGGTTAACACCGAGCAGCAAGTGCCTACAGCCTCACTGGGGTACAGGAGGAACACTCCACAGGCTGGGCCTCCAGGAATTACTCCCAGAACTTTATAAAACTGACCTACTTGAGGGGCTTTTTCCTTTGCTTCAAGCCATCACTTGGTTTTAGACTGAGGTGGAATGCCCGGTTCAAGAAACTTCCCCTGCCTTCAACACTCACAAAATGTACAGGATGCTCACTAGTAAGGTGCTACAATAAAATCTTGTTTATTTCCAGTTTTTATAAACAGTACGTCCCCTACCCCCCCCCCCAAAAAAACCTTTGCCTTTCTACCGGACAGCATAATTGTATATCTAACTTGTAGAATCTAACATCTAGTGCCATAGTTTCCAGAGAGAATCAGATACATGAGTTTTAGGTTTCCTACTTCTATAGAACGCAACTGAAAGAGATGGGGTTGGATGCTGAGTGCCAATCAGTAACATACAACAAAAATCCGTAACTAAATCATTTCTGTTCTCAGCCAGATGGTTATGGAGACCTTTACTACATCCTTCAATTTGCACTCAACCACTGCACCAACTGTTTTTCTAAAGTGATGTTCGGCTGAAATGGAATAACCAGTAGCCCCTTTATATAGGAAAAAAATTAAATATGATTATGATAATTGCAAATATTATGTGTATTTTCAACTCTTTTTAAATTTTTTAAATGACATTGTACATATTTATGGTATACATAGTGATGTCATACATATAACATATAGTGACCAGATCAGGGTAAGTAGCATACTCACCACCTCAAATATTTATCATTTATTTGTGTTGGGAATATTCAATATCTTCTTTCTAGCTATTTGAAATTATATAATACATTATTGTTAACTATAGTCATCCTGCAATGCTATAGGACCAAAGTCTGCTTTTATTTTCATTTAACGTTGCCCTAAGCCTCTCCTTATGCCAATAAAATTTCTTCATGAACATTCGTAAATGTTGCCTAATATGGCACTTTTGTGACTATTTGGTAATTTACTTAACCACTTCTTTTTTGCTAGTGATGTAGTTAAGTTGTAATTTTCTACAAATACTAATGATGTCATGAGTTACGCCTTTGTATATAAACCCCTGTCATTCTCTCCAATTATTTTCTGAGGATCTCAGCTTTCTCTTAAAAATGGGTCTTATTTACTGACTCACTGAATCTAGGGCTTTTTTATTTGTTCTGTAAATGAGACAAAAGTAGATCCATATTGTTTCAAAAGCAATGAGGAAAAGTCAGCAGTATATTATTTTGTGCTAAAATAGCGCAGCTTCTAAAACACCTGGGACCTTGTTGAGAGGCATTACTTAAAAGCATAGATTGCAGTAAATGTTGCTTCATTTTGACTTTTGTGTTAGGCCTGTAACCTTCATGTAATAAATCAATATGTTTCTTGTTTAAGATGATGCCTAATCGTTAGACACTGGTCCTCACAAATATTATTGCTCATTCTCCTAAAGACAATACCTGTTTCTAGTATTTTTAGTTTAAATCAATGTACTATGTGCTCCCACCATGCTAACTTTAGGTAGAATCAAAAATGTGTAAAATTATGTCTCTAAATTGCAAGAGTTTACAGTGTTTGAGGGAATGTGAGAAAATTGCTTTATTGCTCTATTTTAAAACTGCCATTATGTTCCCTTTAAGTTTTTCTTGGAATCTCAGTGAGAATGAAGTGGAGTGAGAGTGCGAATGATCCCCTTTAGAATCTCTAGGCTGTAAGCACCACAAGCTCCAGGGATTTGTTTCTCATTTAAATTGGCATCTCAGTTGCTTTGTCTGCAGCTTGATAAATATGACTTAGATAACTGAATGAACAAATGGACAGTAAATGAATGACTCAACGTAGATCCTATTCTATGAAAAAAAAAATCAGTTTAAAAATGATCAAAGACCTACATGGCTACCTTAGTCCATTTTGTGTTGCTATAAAGGAATAACTGAGGCTGTGTGTGTCTGTGTGTGTGTGCATGCGTGTGTGTGTATTTTTTTTTTTTTTTTTTTTGAGATGGAGTTTCACTCCTATTGCCCAGGCTGGAGTGCAATGGCGCGATCTTGGCCCACTGCAACCTCCGCCTCCTGGGTTCAAGCGATTTTCCTGCCTCAGCCTCCCAAGTAGCTGGGATTACAGGCACGCGCCACCATGCCCGGCTAATTTTTTTTTTGTATTTTTAGTAGAGATGGGGTTTCTCCATGTTGGCTAGGCTGGGCTCGAACTCCTGACCTCGTGATCTGCCCGCCTCGGCCTCCCAAAGTGCTGGGATTACAGGCATAAGCCACTGCACCCGGCCTAGGCTGTATAATTTATAAAGAAAAGAGGTTTGACTTATGGTTTTGCAGGCCATACAAGAAGCATGGTTACCAGCATCTGCTTCTGGAGAAGGCTTCAGTCTCCTTCTGCTCATGGTGGAAGGCAAAGGGGAGCCAGTACGTGGAGATCACATGGCAAGAGAGAAGAAAGAGAGATGGGGCAGATGCCAAGCTCTTTTTAACAATCAGTTCTTTGGGAACTCTCATGGGAACTAAGAGAGCAAGAACTCACTGATTACCTTGAAGAGAACTCCAAGCCATTCATGAAGGATCCATCCCATGACCCAAACACCTCTCACCAGGCCCCACCTCCAACACTGGGAATCCAGTTTCAACCTGAGACTCAGTGGGGCCAAACAAACCGTATACAAACCATAGCAATGGCTTGGTAACTTTAGGAACCAGACAACTTAATCTCAACATAGTGACTATTTATCAAGTACTTAACTAAAGTCTGCTGTAAGCCTTTTACATGTTGTATTTTATTTACTATTCATAATTTATGTGCTGGTACTAGTTTATTTCCCAATTTATAGAAAAGAAAACTAAGGTTTAGGATTAATTTGCCCACATCATGCAGTGAGTAAGACGTGACGCAGGGATGCTGAACCCCACTCTGCTGTTAATCATATGTCTCCCATATTATATGGCAAATATCAAGGGTTGATGTGGGGCAAGAGCTTATAGCAAGTTAATAAAACAATGTGGGTATTTTGTTGTTGTTGTTCGCTTGCTTGCTTGTTTTTGAGACAGGGTCTTTCTCTGTTACCCAGGCTGGAATGCAGTGGTGTGATCCCAGCTCACTGGAGCCTCGACCTCCCCAGGCTCAAGTGATCCTCCATCTCAGCCTACTAAGTAGCTGGGACTACAGGTGCTCACCATGATACCCAGCTAATTAATTTTGTATTTATTATAGAGATGGAGTTTCACCACATTGCCCAGGCTCGTCTCGAACTCCTGAGCCCAAGCAATCTGCTCACCTCAGCTTCCCAAAGGGCTGGGATTACAGGTGTGAGCCATCATACTGGGCCATAAAACAATGTTTATATGTTATGAATTCCTCTGTGTATTTGTAATACAAAGTCACATCATTCTCAATTTTCTATGTGTCCTTTTGTCAGGAAACTCTCTATCCCTTCTTGAGGCTTTACCAACCTGAAATTGCTCCCACATGTTGGTGTCATACTCCGTCCAAAAATATTCAGACCTTCTAGGGACATCAAGTTGAGAGAAAATCCAATTCTGGTGGTAATCGCCACCATCATTTCTAATGGGACACTGTGTAGCTGTTGAAATATTGAAGATTCCACTGTCCATCGGATGTCCACTCTGCAGCAATGCTTCCTTGATCTGGGTGTCTGCCAGCTCGACAGCTTGCTGCCCAGTTGAGTTTGAACTTGTAGCTCAGTGATAGGCAGAATTCAAAGATGGCTCCAGAGTCCCTGGCCCCTGATGTACTGCCTACTCCCAACTATTCAATTAAACTTATCTAGGTGTCGCTGGAAAGGGATTTGCAAATGATATTAAAAGTCCAAGTCAGTTGACCTTAAAAATGAGAGACTATCTGGGTGGAGCTGGACTAATCACATGAGCCCTTCAAGTCTGAATCTGGCAATCACAGATAAGTCAATCAAAGCGAGTAGAAGAATGAGAGAGTCAACGAGAGGGAAATGCGCTGGAGGCACATGGCATAGAATGCAGGCAGTCTCTAGAAGCTGAGAGTCAGTAAGGAACTGGCAACCTCAGTCCTACAACCACAAGAAACTAGATTTTGTCAACAATCTGAAAGAGCTTGGAAGCGGTCTCTTCCCTAGAGTCTCCAAAGGAGAGTGTAGGTCATATGATATTCTCATTCCAGCCTCATGATACGCTGAAGAGAGAACCCAGCTATGCAGTGATAAAATTCTAACCTGCGGCACTATGAACTAATAAACGCTCATTGTTTTAAAGTTAAGTGTGTGGTAATTTGTTATGCAAAAATAAAAAGCTAACACAAGCTTTCTCAGTTAATGTTCTAAGTCTGATAATTTTTCTTCACAGCCCAGATGCTGAACCTGGATCCTGATGGGCTTCTAGCTCAATCCACTTTGAGATCCAAACTTTCCCCTTCACATAATGTTCAAGTCTTCATGGTGGTGCTAAGGTTCTAGCCTAGACTATTTCTGGTTTCCTGATGGTTCACATTTTTCACTCATAAAAGTGAACCATTCTTAATATCTAACAATAAAGTCTAAAGCCTGCATTTGTCAGGCCACGACAAGTTCAAATGCAGTTTATCTGAGTCATTGGCTGCCTAGTGTTGTAAATATTCATAATTGATTTCTCAATTTAAAAAAAGGCAAATAACCAAACACTGCAGGTTCTCACTCATAGGTGGGAAATGAAAAATGAGAACACATGGACACAGGAAGGGGAACATCACACTCTGGGGCCTGTTGTGGGGTGGGGGGAGGGGGGAGGGATAGCATTAGGAGATATACCTAATGCTAAATGACGAGTTAATGGGTGCAGCACACCAACATGGCACATGTATACATATGTAACTAACCTGCACATTGTGCACATGTACCCTAAAACTTAAAGTATAATAATAATAAATAAATAAACAAATAAATAAAGGTATGTAACAGGTGACCTGAGGTTGTTAACAACTCTAAGCAAAGCAGAAATTTGCCCCTCAGTGATCACTACATTTAAGCTTGGTTTTAACTGATATACCATTATCTGTAAATTCTTTTCACTAACTACAAAAAGAGAAGAAACTACACATACATGCACACATATACTATACTTCTTTTTCAGCTTTTGTCTCAAAGCAAAATTAAAGTAACACGCAAAAGGGTAAAATGCATGCTCAGAATACTATCTATGAATGCTAAGATAGAAATTTCATGCTTTTCGAAATGAATAAGAAATATTCATTTGAATCTTTCGTGATTCTCTTTTTGCTTTCTGTTTGTTCTTTTTTAAAAAAATATTTCTTAACAGGTAAATACCTTAAAGTCTTAACATACATGTGTGTGTTCACTCCAGAAGGACTTTTGCTTCAAAAATATTTTATAGTGAGATAAAAGAAAAGCCTAGAAGGAGAATGAGCATTATATTAAGCAAGGATTCATAACAGTGGAACATCAATGAGGAGGGAACCAAATGCTATCAAGAGGTTACTCCGTATCTCATCATCTTTGAAATACGTTATCTTATATGAGAGAAAATAGACTTTATTCAGCTTTGCAGATATGTTGTTTTGGATTTATTTAAAATAGCAGGTATTTCTCTCTTTTAGTGCAAAGATTCAGTTATAGCCAAATAAATTCACCTTAAATATTATCAACTGCAACCTCAGAAAATTCAAATTTAAAAAGTCAAAGTTTCAGTTAAACATCCCCAGATTTCTCTGCAAGAAACTATGATTTAAAATTTTAGAAAGAGGCAGACTCATCTACATTTTAGGTTAGGCAGACCCAAACTCATTTTAAAATCTGATTATACATATATTCAATTCTGTGCTTAATAGAGAGTATAATCCTAGGGAGAAATCTATGATCCTTTGTTTAATCTTATTGTTTGTGTTGGGATATTTTTACAAAAAGTTTTATTTAAAAGGATAATAGCTAAGTTGAGTAGAAATGGTGTTTTGTCTTCTTAGTTAAAAAGCTTTTGGAAGAACATTTCTGAAGACCACTAGGCCATAGGCCAGGCACCAATTTCTGTCAGTCTGTTAACAAAAATACAAGGCAGGGACTTAGCAGAATATAAGCATTATTTTGAAAACTAACCTAGAAAACGCAATTCCAAGCTATGATTACAAAAGCACATATACTTAGATAGCTAATTGTAAACAAAATATGGGACATACAATTAAATTTAAAACAGGCTAATATAGAGAAAGAAGAGAGCCTAACAAACTGTACTACTAGTAATCCATACTAAGCAGAGCAAGTGTTCTCAAAGTGCTTCCTGTTACCTGGGAACTTGTTAGAAATGCAGATTCCCAGGCCCCAACAAATCAGAAGTTCTCTGCATGGGACTTAGCTATGTATGCCATCACCATCCCTCCAGTGATATGTGACTTACTGGAGTAATAAGGACGTACACAAGTCAAACCTGTATTATTTGAAAGCTCTATAGATGATTCTAATGTACAGCCAAGTTGAGTTCAAATTTTTAATTGGTTAGATATCAAAGTCCACCAGTAAGAAAATGAACAACCTGATTAAAAAAATAGGCATGAGATCTGAATAGACACTTCATCAAAGGAGACATCCAGATGGCAAATAAGCATATGAAAACAGGCTCTACATCATACGTCATCAACGAAATACAAATAAAAGCAAAATGAGATACTACTACATACGCACTAGAATGGCCAAAATCCAGATCACTGACAACACCAAATTCTGGTGAAGATGTTGAACAACAGGAGTTATTGTCCATTGGTGATGGTAATACAGAATGGCACAGCCACTTTGAAAGACAGTTTGACAGTTTCTTATAAAATTAAACATACTCTTACCATATGATTCAGCCATCCAGTTCCTTGGCATTTACAAAATGAGTTCAAAACATATATCTGTTCAAAAACCTGCACACTGATATTTATAGCAGCTTTATTCATAATTTCCCAAACTTGGAAGCAACCAACATATCCTTCAGTAGGTGAAAGAATAAATTATGGCGCACCTAGACAATGGAATATTATTCAGCACTGTAAAGAAATGAGCTATCAATACATGAAAGGACATGGAGGAAACTGAAATGCATATTTCTAAGTGAAAGAAGCCAATCATATGATTCCAACTATATGACATTCTGGAAAAGGCAAAACTATGGAGACATAAAAAGATCAGTGGTTGTCAGGGGTTGAGGGTAAGGAGGGATAAATAGGCAGAGTGCAGAGGATTTTTAAGACAGTGAAACTATTCTGTAGGAGACAGAAGGGTGGATACATGTCACTATATATTTATCCAAACCCATAGAATGTACAATACCAAGAGTGAAACCTGAAGTACACTATGTAGTTTGGACGATAATGATGTGTCAATACAGGTTCATCAATTGGAATAAGTGTACCTCTCTGGTGTGGTACAGTATGTTGTTAACAAGGAAAACTGGGAAAGGATGTGGCAGATATATGCATACTCCCTGTGTGCCCCATTCAGTTTTTCTGTAAACCTAAAACTGCTCTAAAAACTTGTCTAAGTTTTAAATTGGGTAGATTATATTAAAGGATCATTTTTAAAATAAGTAAATCATGAGTATGAGTTTACACAGATATAAAATGTACATGTCAAAGATTTTATTTAGCTCATTAGTTAGGAAGATGGGAATTAACATGTCCTAAGTTCAAAGGAGATCCCAAAGAGTAACTATAAAAGGCCAACAAAAATGCCAACATGAATTTGCTTAACACAGAAAAACCTGGCTTCTTCCACAGCAGGTTAGAAAAGTCCATTGAATCTCCATTGGACAGAACCTATCTGCATGTATATAGAAAATAATGTTTTATATTTTGGCTGGGCGTGGTGGCTCATGCCTGTAATCTCAGCACTTTGGGAGGCCGAGGTGGGCTGATCACCAGGTCAGGAGGTCGAGACCATCCTGGCTAACACGGTGACACTCCATCTCTACTAAAAATACAAAAAGTTAGCCAGGCGTGGTGGTGGGCACCTGTAGTCCCAGCTACTCGGGAGGCTGAGGCAGGAGAATGGCGTGAACCCAGGAGGTGGAGCTTGCAGTGAGCCAAGATGCGCCACTGCACTCCATCCAGCCTGGGCGACAGAGAGAGACTGTCTCAAAAAAAAAAAAAAAAAAAAAAAAAAAGAGAAGAAAAAAAGAAAATGATGTTTTATATTTCTATGAATTTTCTGCAAGTTAACTTCTAACTCCACAAAATTATATAATAGTTCCAAAACAATGAAATGCCAAAACCCTACAGAATCAGATGAATCAGAGGATGCATTCTAAACAGCACAAAATTTCTCCATTAAGGAAACCTGGTAATCTTTTGGTCCCTTTTTAAGTCGTCCACAATTTTTTCTACCAGCTAAAAACATGTAGAAAAAGAGGCAAAGCAAAGCATGGCCTCGGGGGATCATGGCCAGCTGAGATGGCAGTGAGCTGACAGCCTCGAAAGAACAGCGCACAGGAATTGAAACAGTTTGACAAAGAGTGTTTGCCTTTTATCAAAGGGTCTTGAGGGTCATGTTGATGTTTTGTTCTTCCTATAATTTAAGTGGGAAGTTGTTGGAGGTCTCCGAAAAAAAAAAAAAAAACAGATGTGATATGATTAATGCGGTGCTTTAGGGAAATTAATCCAAAACCATCTTCAGGATAGATTAAATGCCAGAATTGACCAGAAAGACCAGGCAGGAGCTGGCAAAGTAATCCAGGATTAAGATAAAATTTAAAGTTTTATTATCCAGAGATTTCCTCTCTAAGAATTTCTTTAAAGACAGGCATTATTCCAAATCCGTCTCATTCTATAAAACTCACAAAGCCAGTGTGCTGTGTCTCTCTGTCTCTCTTGGCCTTGATCTAGAGTAAAATGTTGAAAATAGAGAACCATTTTTCTTTCCAGACAGGGTGGATAGTTATCTAGAGTGAAAAGTTTCATTTTCCAGCATTTTTCATTGAAACTATCACCTGATAATTACACTGAATAGAAAGTAACCATTAATCACATCTTTAATGTATCAATTCATCACTGTCTACCTTGTATGGAGCAGAATTACAATTAATCAGTCAAACCAAGCCCTATCAGGACCGAATGCCTGGGGAAGTGTGGGTTAAGAAGGCAACTCTTTTAAATGGAGAAAATACATTTGCTTCTGCTGGCAGGAGACTGAGGCCTTACCCGTAGCACTGCTTTATGTCATCACAGAAAGTGTTTTAATCTCCTCCTTTGTCCAGTTTGAGCAACCTCAAGTTTGTTAGACATGTAAAGCTCTTAAATGTTATCTGACCTACAAGGGAAGGAATTTGGTCAGTTTTGTCATTGCCCTTTCTCGGCACATAATTTTGTTAATGAAAGGCTTTCACAAAACAAATTCACATTTTAGAATGCAACAGCTGCCTACATCCTTGTCATCCCTATTTCTCAACTGATAGGTGCACTCCTCCAGGATGGCCCACTCTGAGGCTCCTCTCTATAAAGCTGGAGGTAAAAAAAAGGCATTTTTATGATGGTGATTAGATGTAGAGTCTGGGTTTAAAGACTCCGGAACAAATAACATGGCTTATCATTTCCTGCTTTCCTGACTTGTGTTGATGCTATAAAAAGAAACCTGTCCCTTCTCTCCGACGAGATTTATAAACTCCTTGCAGAAAGCTCCCAAGTCTTATACTGATTTTGTTAATTCCCTTTCCAAATAGAAGAGCTTCTGCATAGCTGCTTGAGAAATAACTTGGTGTTTTGTTGGTTATAGGTTATAAATTCTACAGAAAGTTTAGGGGGTAAAAGGTTCTCTTAGGGGCTGAAAATGTCAAGGTACTTATTTCTAAACTCTGAATCTAGATTGCAAACCTTTTTTATTTTATACAGGAGAAGAGAGTTTCAGTATTTTTGGAGACACACTTTAAGGCTTTCCATGATTACCATTACAGTACATTATTTCCCCCTATAAAATTCAGAAAATTAAAAATTGAGGAGAGCCAAGGCTGTGGCAAGTGGAAAACAATCAAGCCACTGAGCTGTGGGCGCTGAGCAGTTCACTCCACTCCCTCACTTATAAAGGGCTCCCACTCAAAGCCCAGCGCATATGTCAAGTCAGTGCCCCTCAAAATTGCAAAGTACTGCATATCGGAAACCAGTGGGCCCAGTCATTAATCAAAACAATAACATTAAATTCACCAAATCCCATACTTACAACTAGCCTTATCTCCTCTATAGCTGCTAGCTGAGTACAAGATAAATGATGGGTGCTCAATAAATTCTGGATGAATGAATTAACTTGCAAATTACCAGTCTCCAGTGTGGGGTGACCAAATTTGAGAGTAGCAAAGAGAGTATGACGAAAGGTCAAAAAAAGGAGGCTGGATGCCTATGTTAGATCCAACTTTAATTTTCACATAAATCAAAGGAATTCACTAATATTTGAGTTTTGAGTTAAATGTAAAAGTACAAACATAGGGTTTTTTTCCTATTTTTATTTTCTGCAAAATAAATAATAAATAGAAGAGGATCAGGTATATGCCATCCTGGTAGCAGGTTATAATTGAAGATGAAAATTCATACTAGTATCTGAAGAAATAGAGTCAGAGATCATTGGGGTACCAGCCAAATCTGACTAAAGCATCCAGAACACCGTCTCAATTTATAATTGATCTCTATGAGAACTGGTTTGCAGTCAGTGTGCTGATTTTGCTGACAGTTTAAGTTCCTTCTGTCGTGAGCTAAGTTTAGATGGAGTTGGCTATTTGAGCAACCCAGTGCCAGGACTCCATTTTGCATTTAAATGGGAGTTGGGAAAGATGTTTTCTAATGATCAAGGAAAAAAAGGAATGGAGAAACTCAGTTTCCTAAGAAGAAATAGACATAGATGATATTAATCTAGGATGTAACTGAAATAAAAAGAAATGGACCATAAAAATGTGAAATGCCCAATGTAACAATAAAAATAAGCTACCTATATAAATAAAGACATGGTAATAGCAATAAAACTAATGCCTTAATTTGAATACCACACAGCTTGTAAAGTGCTGTCACATATGGTATTTCATTTTATTCTCAGAGGTTATGATAAAATATACTTGTGCATTACATACATTTGTATAATTGATTCTTCAACACCAGAGCCAATTACATTTGTACAGATACTGGTTATCATAGTTCTTAGCAGTGTTCTAAATGTCCATGGTTTTCCTTTGTGTTATCTACCGTAGATCTATTATGTTTTTTGCCAATTTATCTTAGAACTTGTTGACAAATTTATAGGTTGCGATTATAGGTTGAATTATATCCCCCCAAAATTTATATTTTGAAGTTCAACCTGCAGTATCTTAGAATGTAATTTCACCTGGAATTAGAGTTGTTACTAATACAATTAGTTAAAATGAGGTCATTAAGTTAGGTCTTAATCCAACATGACTAGTGTCCTCATAAGGGGGACATTTGGGAACAGAGGGAGGCTTACAGGAAGAATGTCACGTGATAATAAAGGCAAGAGATCAGGGTGATGCTTCTTCCAAAGATTGCCAGCAAACCACCAGCAGCTAGGGAACAGGCATGGAACAGGCTCCTTCTCACAGCCCTCAGAAGAAACCAACCTGGCTAACACCTTGATCTCAAACTTGCAGCCTCCAGAACCGTGAGAGAACAAATTTCTGTTGTATAAGCCACCCAGAGTGTGGTTTACAGCAACTCTAGTAAACCAATACAGTTGCTGTCATGCCTGTTACTTTAAAAAAAAATAGAGACATGTTTAAGAGCATAGGGCCATGGTGCTTTAAGAAAGTATGGCAAAAAAGAGCCCCTCCGGCCTCGTCATCAATGGCAGCAGCTCTGACTTTCTATGGACCCCTCTGGTTACTCTTATTGGAAGCCCATGAGTCCGGTGGGTCCCAGGTATGTGATACTGGCCACCTCCACTCTGCTTTCAATTTATATGTCCTCCCAATGTTCTCTACAGGAAGGCCTGTTGGCCAAGGGAACTCGCAAACAAACAAACAAACAAAAGCGAGGTTGGTTCCTGGCTTTCCCTATCACCAAGTGTGTGCTCTTTGACAAATTACTTAACTTCCCTATTTATAAGATGGGGATAACCTATCTCGCAAGGTTGCTGTGAGGTGTAAATAAAGTAATATACATCACCATCCACATTTTTTCCTAATTCAGTGTTGAAAGCTGCTGCACAGATGAGGGAGAAAACATACATATCACCATTCTGCAGTCCTGCCAACTTTATTCCCAAATCATGATTCGTTGTTCTCTGTCTCTTTCCTCTTGATAACATACCATATATTTTTCTCCATCACATCTATTTGCCTGCTCTTCTTAATTTCTGTACTCCTTTTACCATGCCGTACCCATTAACTATGTCTTCTTGCCTTCCTCTTGTCTAAAACAAGTGAAATTTCTTTACTCATCCTTCTATGAAAAAACAAAAAACAAACAAAAAAAAAACACTCTTCCCAATTCATTGGTAGCTCCAGAATTTCTACACAGGATGACCCAGAGGCAGTAATTTTGTTGGAAAGACATGCCAAAGAACATATCTTGAGTCTGTCTTGCAGAGCAGATGCTGTGTTTTTGTTTAGTGTTGGCTTCTGTAGGGTGGCCTGGAAGGAGTGGTGTGCTAATTAGCTCAGTCACAGTCCTGTGGGCTAGTTTTTGTTTGTTTGTTTGTTTGCTTGCCACTCCAGACTTTTTCTCCACTCTTCCCTACCTTGTCCTGTACCCAAAGAGGGTGATTTCTGTGGGCTGTTTACTCAAAGTCCCTTGTCCCCCTGTAAGAAAACCACAAGGTTGGATCAAAGAGAGACAGAGAGATAGGGGTATTTGTTCACCCCATCCCCAGGCTTCCTTCTTGCCAGGCACAGATTTTCACTGTGTCCCTCTAAGAATGTAGCTCCTTTCCAGCCACCTTTCTCCTGGTGCAATAGCTCTCATTAAATTCCAGTACTACGATTCCCTCCTCTTCCCTCTTCAAGACCACAGGTAGTGACACAAACAAATGTGATAATCACTTTTTAATATCTCTGCCCCTTGAAAAATTGGATTTCTCACTATTACTGGTCCCTGGATGTTTAATTATCCTCTAACTCTTCCCACATGTTTGTAAACAGTCCATTCAGTATAACTCTCTTAATTTAAGCTCACTGAATGTGCCATTTATTTACTGTTAGGACTTTGATATCCCACCACCACCATCTTGGCACTGCCATCTCTTCCTTTTTATAACTCTACATTGGGGGTAACCAGCAGTTTGTTGATAAAGAAGTTTTACTTTATCCTAGTTCTTTTACATCCTGAACAATTGTAGTGGTGCTTTTGATATCATAATCACCAGTTCATCTGTTATTATTTCATCACGCATCTCTGATATTCCTGAACTCTTCATTCCCCTTTCCCTGCCTTCACCTTTAAGTTTATTGTCTGGAGGCAGAATAAGTGGAGGGGGTGGGGATGATAATCAGCCAGTGGCCAGGCTTGGAATGAAACATTGCCTACCTTTCCCTGAACCCAATGAGGGTGATTTCTGAGTGTTTGTATGAACACCATGACTTTGAGAAAATCATGAGTTTTCCACCAATCTCAGAAGACTACCACCCCAAATTTGTGGTTAAGAGCAAATAAAATAACCAAAGGAGACAGCACATAGTAGCGGATTAACAGATTTTAGCCCCTTAAACTGAAACAAATCAAAAAAAGGTGAATAGTTCTCTTTGTTTTTAAATGTATTAATTCATATAAGATGCAATCTTTACCTAATATAATGTGTCAGGAGAAATTACTTCCCTATAAGAAATCAGTCCTTTACTATAGTGGAAAAGACTAGAAACTACCTTTCTAATTTTTGTCATCCTCTGTCATTAAAGTTGAAGTGCAAATGCATTACTTCCAAACAATAATAGCATATAGTTCATCCACATCCTCGTCTTCCAGAGGTTAATGCCCTTTCTGATTGGCTTTGCCTTATTTTTCTATATAGGTTATGAATATAATCCCCAGAGACTGAGCCACCCACATCTCAACATAGAGGGAACATGATCCTGTGACATGCCAGCCCAGCCTTCCCCTCTAATGCCAGCTATTCTTTTGTCTCCTGTCTTTATTTTTTTCTTTTGCTTCCTTCTTCTTCGGTTTTCTCTCCTAAATTGCACACCAATCACTCTTACCGATGAAATCCCCACTTTCCATTTTCAGCGTCATCAAATGTCCCATTGCTTCCCATCTTTTCATACAACTTTTGAAAACTCAAATACTAATAAATGGAGCATGCATTTTTCATCTTTATTCTTCAAGCCCCTTCGTCTCCCTGCTGTTGCTATTTAGTTGGGCTTTGAGGAGTGAGAACTATTCAGTTTATGGATCCTGTTTCTTGGCTTCTGTTACCTTCCATTGCCTTACTTAAGAGCAGGTATAACCCACATAGGCAGCCTGCCTCGCTGTGCCCTGCCCAATGGACTCATGGAAATCCTGGGTCTCCCAGCACTTCATGTTCTCCCAGTAAAGCCCTTGGAGAAACTTTCACTGCCTCCCTCCAATGTTTTCAAATGTATAAGAAAAAGAGTTGCATTCTCTCACATAATGCTTGCTGTATAATCTAGCCCTTTTCCTTGTTTCCCTGGAAAATCGTGGTAAGTAGCAGTTTTGTGTTGCGGTTGCTATTGGGGAGTTGTCTTTATCTTATGGAGACCATTTTTCACTTTGAGAAATCTTTAAATCAAATGTGACAGGTGCTGGGGGGACAAAGATCTGGAATATGCCTCAGGTGCGATTATGACTTAATTCTGTGTTAAACAATGTTAACCAGCTACCTTTCCTCTTCACATTCCCAAGGCTCAGCAGACAGGGCCTCCAAGCAGGCCTGTCCACAGTGCCAAGAATGTTTCCATCAAGTCAGCCATTAGCTTCTCTTTTCCTTTCATAATGACGGGTCTTTAGGAGAGTGGTGGGCAAGCGGCGCTGACGCTGTGCAGGGCGGGGATGCTGACCCTGCTAGAGAGGGAGATTTTGCTCTCCTCTTCCTATTTCTTTCCATAGGGGGTCCCAGGGGAACTTTGAATGGGAGGGGGAAAAACCTATGAATTTTGTAACAGATTATTGGATCACAGTGCTGATGCTTGCAGACTGGGTCTAGTCACATGAGGCGGGTAATATAAAGTGGTAAAATGGTCTGCCCCTTCTCACTGACACCACTGTCCCTTGCCCAGAAATGTCCTGAGTCTTTCATTTTCTTCCCCATCATTGCATAAAACAGGATATTTCTGATCCACTTGGAATAAAATGCCATACTTCTTTCAGCAGTTTATCTGCTTGAGCCTCTCTTGGTATTAGTCATGATTCCTCTTTCACCACGATCAAATGTAGTAATCATTCTTTGATGCCTCCATCCTTTGGAAAAGTGGAGATGTCCTAGCAAAGGATTATCTGTTTTCAGCCACTTTGTTTGCAGTAAGGCAACCTTTGCAGCAGACTCCTGATGAAAAGACAGCAATTACTTTTTAGTTAATATTAGTTGCCTCTCACCCTCATTCCCTTCATTGTTCCCATCCTATCAATCAGTTAGTCAAGAATTAGCTATTGCATTTCTTCCATATGTGAGTGTTTTCTCCCCAGGGTAGTGCCCTAACAAGATCAAGACAGCTTTCCTAGCAGCCCTTAAAACTCTCTAGAACTCAGGAACTAGGTGAGCTGGCCCAAGATCTATTTCCCTTTGAAGAGATTGTTCATGTTCTTGCTTTCCTGAGCTGAGAAACCTGCTTTTGGATTATCTTCTGCTTCGTCGTTTGATAGCTTGGGACCATATCTTTCTCTTTTCCTTGTACTTCTCTTGTTCTGCAAAGTGACCTATAAAGAACCCTGCCCAGGTGTTTTTTTCAGGATCATCTTTCCAAATCCCCTTTTGATTGTGTGGAACTATCGGTGCTTTCTCTTTGTTCACACTCCAAGATGCCTGTAAGTTATGACTTCATTTGGACTTGACCAAATGAAGATCTTTCATTTATTTATTTTTTCTCAAACCTTCTTAATTTCTGAAACACAAATATAACCAGGTGTGATGGCTCTTGCCTGTAGTCACAATGTTTTGGAAAGCCAAGGTGGGAATATTGCTTGTGGTCAGGATTTCAAGACCAGCCTGGACAACATAAGCAAGATGCTGTCTCTACAAAAACTGGAAACATTAGCTGGGCATGGTGGCATGTGCCTGTAGTCCTAGCTACTTGAAAGGCTGAGGTGGGAGGATCATTAGACCCAGGAGGTGAAGTCTGCGATGGGCTATGATCACACCATTGCACTCTAGTCTCGGACAACACAGCAAGACCTTGTCTCAGAAATAAACAAACAAACAAAGACTAAATGAAAAAGTAAAATACACTTGTTTGTCCATTAAATATTATAGGTTCCACGCCTGTGTTTTCTACACGACTTTAAATTCTCGAGAACGGTAGAGTAGAAAGAGCACAGGCTTTGCTTCTAAAAGCTGTGATATGAATCTCAGCATGACCACTCAACTTCAGTTTCTTCATCTGTAAGAAGAGATAACAGTGTCATCCCCATGGACCAGTTTTGAGAAATATCACATTTTAAAAGCCTATCACGATGGCTGGCACATGTAGCCTCTCCACAAATGTTGTTTTTCCTCCTCCTTCCCCTTCATTAACCTCAAATATCTGGAGACTTTATCATTCGCTGTAGGTTTACTCCTTTCCCTGAAAGCTCACACAATAGTTCTCATTTAGCACATGTCACGGGAGCTGGACAGATTGAATAGGGTGGAGAGATCTGCCTCTTCTGATCATGTTTCTCATATTTCTGAACCTTTCATGTTCTAATAGGCATTTATTTATCTTCATGCCACTACCAACTCTGAGATTTTGAGGAATTAATTTTGGTGATTATTATAGAATGATAGATACGATCTTTTCGTCTACTTCACAATGTGTTTTCTTTCCCATAAACAAGTTGTATTATTTTGGGGGGCCTATTTCATGTTTTGGTGAGTTTGCTTCATTCTGTTTTCATACTCATCTAGGTAACACCTTACATTCTATATTATTAGATCAATTCAAAGTATTTAACTATAGAGTCACAATTTGGTTACTTCCAACTGTATTATCTTTTGAAAGTTAAATTGTTTACAAAAGATGATGTTATTTTTATAATGAGAAAGGATCCCTGCCCTTTCATGATGTTTATTTTCTTCCTTGTGCATACATGTTTGTGTATGTGAGAGACAGATTTGGATGGTAGTGGTTATTCATTAATATAATACAATATGTATACTGTATATATTATATATGTACTACATATACACAATATATGTGGTATAAATATTGTATTATATACTACATATACATAATATATACACAATATATGTAGTATAAATATTATATACTACATGTACACAATATGTACACAATATATAGTATAAATATTGTATTATATACTATATATATACAATATATACACAATATATGTAGTATAAATATTATATACTACATATACAGAATATATACACAATATATGTAGTATAAATATTGTATTATATTAATTAATAACCTCTGCTTGAATACCTTGAGTGACAGAGAGTTCATTCAAACCTCTGCTTGAATACCTTAAGTGACAGAGTTTACTACCTACCACAGCAATTCAATTAATTGTCAGAATTTTCATCAATAGAAAGCACATTTTTCTGTAGAGACGTACCCTACCACTTTCTGGTTCCCTCCATAAGTTTTAGCGGTGGCGTCTGCCCTCTATGAAGTGGCATATCATGAGAGAAAGGGGATGGCATTACACGTATGTTAAAGGTATTAGTCTGTTCTCTCATTGATATAAAGAAATATGCAAGACTGGGTGATTTATAAAAAGAGGTTTAATTGGCTCACGGTTCCACAGGCTGTCCAGGAAGCATGACAGCATCTGCTTGGCTTCTGGGAAGGCCTCAGGAAACTTACAATCATGGTGGAAGGCAAAAGGGAAGCCAGCACTTCACACGGCAGGAGCAGGAGGAAGAGAGAGTGAGGAGGCACCACACTTTTAAACAGCCAGATCTCACGATAACTCACTCATTCACTCACTCTCAGGAGAACAGCACTAGGAGGATGGTGCTAACCCATTAGACACCACCTCCATGATCCCATCACCTCCCAGTACGCCCCGTCTCCAGCACTGGAGATTACACTTCAACATGAGATTTGGGTGGGGGCACGAATCCAAACAAAATCAAGTATCACCCCAAACTGTTCTTATTTAAGCAGTATACAGCTAGCAGTCATTTTTACTTATGGGTCTAACTATGATCCAGTAGATGAGTCCCTGGAAGCCGTGTCAGAACCACCAGTTTACAATAGAATAGGACAAATCAAATTCCTCCTGTGCATGACAGCCTTTCACAGAGTTTATATAGTCCATCCATGAATTTTTTCTATTCCAGGATAAACATCTCTAATTCCTTCATCTACTTTTCTTTTTTTTTTTTTTTTTTTTTTTTATTTGAGACAGAGTCTCACTCTGTCACCCAGGCTGGAGTGCAGTGGTGCAAGCTCTGCTCACTGCAAGCTCCGCCTCCCGGGTTCATGTCATTCTCCTGCCTCAGCCTTCTGAGTAGCTGGGACTACAGGCGCCCGCCACCACGCCCGGCTAATTTTTTTTTTTTGTATTTTTTTAGTAGAGACGGGGTTTCACCATATTAGCCAGGATGGTCTCGATCTCCTGACCTCGTGATCCACCTGCCTTGGCCTCCCAACATGCTGGGATTACAGGCGTGAGCCACCATGCCCGGCCACCTTCATCTACTTTTCATATCATAATTTCAAGTTCCCCCATCATTCTGCCTACTGTGGACACATTGCCAAAGCTCCTACCTAAGGGATCTTATGTTGGATTGTTTTGAGTTATATTCGAACATCTAGTCAGACAGCTTCTAGATATGTTGGTTGGATTTGGGGGCCCCACGGTGATATTGAAGTTGGAGAACTGCCCTTTCCCATTTATCTTTGAGTGAGATATAGTACCCAGACTACACTCCAGGTTTCCTGGCTTCCAGTCCACATTTTCTGCTTTTCAGAATATGATAACAAAATGATTTGTTATCATTTGGGAAGTCTTTGGTGACAAACCTGGTCTCTCAGGAATATTTTGAATAGTTTTTATAAATCTGTTTTCAATATATAGCACCTGGCCTTGAGGAGGACTTGAAGTGGGAAAGGGGGTGCTGCTGAGAGGAAAGAAGAGAAGGAGACAAACTTCTCATCCCCCATTAGACTTTCATGGCATATTCACCCTCTTTGACAAAAGAAACACAGAGACTAGTTTTACTATTTTATTCTGCTTTAGTTCAAATATAGCATTCTCCCTCCTGCCTCCTACATGGTAGATGATAGATTGACAGATAAATAAATGATACATTGATTGACAGTTGACATAGATGGCTACATAGATAATTAATAAATAATTGATTAACAGATGGCTGATAGGTTGATAGGCGTGCACACGTGTGTGTGTGTGTGAGTGTGATTTATCACTCTAGTTTAAATTATCTTACTCTTTTGCTCTTGTTTCACTTTGCAAAGATTTCTTTGTTTCTCATGCAGGACTCTTTACCATTTTCCCACTTCTTTATCCTGCCACCCACTTTCTCTTCCTCATTACGCAGCTTAAAAATGTCCAACATCTTTAAGGGGAGCAGTAACATACAGTGCAATGCAAAATATATTTTCTCAGGGGACAATAATAACCTGATGGGCCTCATTGTTGGGCAAAGTCAGAGAAGATGTGAGGCAATTTGGGTTCCAGCAAATATCAGTCTGCCGGGTCCTTGCTGTTGTCTTAAAAATAGCTCCCACCTATCAGGACATATTTTAGAGCTAAGTTAAAAGCACATTTGCTTGTTCAGAGCGTCTCTTATGGAGCTGAAAATGCTGAGGCTGTGGAAAGCAAAGTTGGGAGTGTTTATTTGTAACATGCACTCACTCCAGATTTCCCTCGGGGAATGACTTAGCAGCAATTTAAGCCCAAATGTAGAGCAAATAGAAAAATGGGTGCTTTTTCTCACTCTTGCAGGATTTGTCCCTTACCAGCTCCTCATATGGATAACAAGCACAAGAGGTGAATTAGTAACTAAAATCTACACTTTCATCTTCAGGGACTCTAAGAGACTTTCTCAGTGTTAAAAAGTCAGCATATCTAAACCAGGCCTCTGTCTCTAAATTACCATGTCTCTAAATTTAAGTACTTTTCATACCCAAGACTATTAACATATAAGATGAGAAAAAGCAGAATCATATATAAAAAAGCAATTTAGTCAAAAATCTTGTTTGCCTGGAGTTTTAAGGAAAATATAAAACCTCCTACAGTTCTGATCTTTATATTAAAAACACATAAATTCTATTTATGTATTAAATAATAAATTGTAGCTTTGTTCTGGACTGCTACAAAAACAAGAAATAGGCTGAAGTGAAGGGACCAAAATAGATTTGGTGATACAGAGACAAACATGTAAGAATAGGTAGAATGCAGAAGGCAAATGAACAGAAAGAGCAAGAGAGAGGGATAGGTACACCTACAGCAAAGGCGAATCATTCTTTAACTCATTCCCAAGGATGTTTGACTCAAAACTAAATATGATCGCGTTTACTTATGCAAGGTGAATAGCATAAGTTGCTGTACAATTGCATGAGGTCATTTTTGACACTGTAATTCTGATTGTCGTCTTACAAAAGTCAAACAGGTCAGATCCGAGGACAGAGGCTCGGGATTGAGGCGATAATGGGATGGGTGGGTGAGTGTGACAGGATTGAGAAATCGTGGACTAGAGCCACAAATTGTTGTGGTAACTACAGAACTCAATGATATTTGTGTGTTCTAAGCATTGCATTCTCTGTGTACTTCGTTCAAGCATCACAAAAAGCCTATAGACCTGGCTTATTTTACTTAACATAATGACCTCCAGTTCCATTCACGAGTGACTATACTCAGCAATCGTATTTTGATTATTTCAAAGTAACCAGAAGTTAGAACTTTATACCAACATATAGAAATGATAAATATTCATAGTGGTAGATACCCCAAATACCCTGACTTGATCATCATACATTCTATGCATGCAACACTCACATGTGCCCCCATAAATATATAAAATAGTGTGTATCAATAAAAGAAAAAAAACTATGGGGAAGGCCTTTTCATTACATTAGTGAAGCAGTATGGCCTATGCTCAAATCTAGACTGAACCACTTACCAGTTACCCAATTTTGGACACTTTTTTTTTTTTTTTTTTACAGTATCTCTCTCTCTCTTTTTTTTTAATTTTAAGTTCCAGGGTACATGTGCAGGATGTACAGGTTGTTACATAGGTAAGCATCTGTCATAGTGGTTTGCTGCACCGATCAACCCATCACTTAAGTATTAAGCCCAGCATGCATTAGCTATTTTTCCTGATGTTCTCCCTTCCTCCAGTCCCCGACCTCCCACAGGCCCCAGTGTGTGTTGTTCCCGTTCCTGTGTCCGTGAGTTCTCATTGTTCAGTGCCCATTCTGAGGGAAAACATGCAGTGTTTGGTTTTCTGTTACCACCTTAGTTTGCTGAGGATAATGCCTTCCAGCTCTGGACACATTCTTTTAACTTTCATGGGCATATTGATTTCTTATTGAGGTTGTAACAAATTACTACTAATGTAGAAACCAATATGCCAATATGCTACTACAAATGTAGTAGCTTTAAAAAATGTAATTTTATTATGTCACAGGCTGGTGACTCTAGGAAAGAATCTGTTTCCTTACCTTTTCCAGCTTCTAGATGCCTCATACGTTCCTTGGCTTATGGCCCCTTGCTTCATCTTCAAAATCAGCAATGTAGCCTCTCCTCTGCTCTCTGACTTCTTGCCTCCCTCTTAAAACAACCCTTATGATTATATCAGTCCCACCAGAATAACTCCCTATCTCCCCAGGATAATCTCCCCATATTCTAATCTCCAACTAAGGAAAAAAGATCCTTACTTTGATCACATCTGCAAAATCCCTTTGCAGATGTGAGATTTGTAAGACAGCATACTCACAGCTTCAGAGGATTTCAACAAGGTCATCTTTAGGGGGCTATTATTCTGTCTACCAAGATAGATAAGCCAAAAAAATTGTACCTGCCTCATAAGGGTGTTTATAAGAAATACAAGTAAAATACTAAGAATAGTTCCTATTCATTTAGTGATCTCAGCCGTTAACACCTACTGTCTGGAGCCAGCTGTTGGAGGATGGGAGATAGGAAGGAGGGAGCCTGGAGTGGAGTATGGTAGTCAGAGGCAAGGGTTGTGCTGAAGCTCTCTCAGCCCACTCTGGTGCTGTAATGAACCAACGTTTGGCATTAGGGAAATCAGTCACATAATTTTTGATGCTTCTGAGTATGAAGATACTGATGCCATGATAATGCCAGGGCAGAATTTAAGAGGTTGGAGGGATCTTACAAATCTAACCTAAATTTCTAAATTTTGTACAGAAGAAATCTGCCTCAGCTCCAGAGGAAAACTTGTCCAAGGACACATGTTTGGTTGAGGAAGAGCTGGGATGAAGACCCAGGACTCTAGACCACCTGCCTGGTGTTCTTCCTGCTGTGTGTGACTCACTTAAGGGAGACTTGGTGGCCTAACAAGTATTTGCCAACTGCCTTTCAACTGCTACCTGGTACACGGAAATAGCATTCAATCAGAATTAAAAATAAAACTTAACACCTAAGTTTAAAATGGACTTTCCTGAATATAATTTTGTATTATGGATTAGATCTTGGAACAGAAAAAGGACATTAGTGGAGAAACCAGCAGGATCATAATTTAGTTGGTTTCTCCGTTTTGACAAATACACCATGATAACGCAAAATGCTAATGAAAAGAAGATGTCGAGGAGCATGTGAGAACTCTCTGCACTCTCTTTGCAACTTTCTTGCACATATAAAATTATTTCTACATACAAATTTATTTTTTTAAATGTGATCATTTCTTTTTCTGTGATAATGCCTCATTATTTTAAACAGTGTTTTTCACTGTGTAGTAAAATATCCTGGCACAGTCGTTAATATGGCTGAGCTCCTTTGCTCTTGCTGGTCCCTGAGCCCAGAATGTTCTTCCTGACAGTGGCATGGTTTGCTCAGTGAATTGTCTCCCAAGCAGGCTATCTAAAGACAAGAGATAAGGAAAAAACGCTTCTGATAATTGAACCTGAACCCCTGAAAATTGTGTCTCCCTCGCCTGCTTTCTCTTTCTCTTTAGTATTCATGGCTACTGAACACAGAGTCCATTTCTCATATGTCTGAATTATAGACATCCACCCCCATAAGGGTAAAGATATTTTATTTTTATCTGTTTTGTTCATTGCAGTATTTCTAGTAACCAGAATAGTGTCTGGAACACAGAGGGAGGTACTTAATAATATACATTGAATGAATGAATGAATGAATGAATGAATCTATTCTATGAGTTAAGTGTCCATGTGTGCCTAGCACTGCACCTGACCCATAGCAGACACTTAGCAAATATCCACTTTAAATACAAGGAATCTGTGGCACAAGAAGAGTAAATTATAACACCAGGAAGTCACGTAGTTTATAGGTGGCAGGTCTGAGATAAGAAGACAAGCCTCCTGGGGATAGGAATTTATTTAGCACATCACATTTCTTCATGCAGAGGTCCACACCAGGACAGAAGTATGCTGCGCTGTGTGCCTCACCCCAGTTTCCATGTCTGTTTTCACTCCTCCAAGGGAAGCATGGCTGAGTTCACTAAATAATCTGCGAAGTACAGAGGAGAAATGTGTTGTGTTGTTGGCTTCCTAATGGCCGTTGGTGCTAAGCTTGACTAAAATCCATTTCAAGAAGCCTTATCCAGAGAGTAGCTTGTCACCATGACTCAATAAGAATGCTTTAAGTGCTTGGGACAAAAAGAAAGAACAGATCAGGTGGGCAATGTGGTAAGACAAAGCCATTACTCCATTCTTTCCCACTTAATCAATCCAATCCAATAGGTATTTGCTGAGGACTTATTTCATGTCACGCACTATACCAGGCATTTTGAGGCCTAAAAGAGAAGCCCAGCAGCTGTTGTGCAAAAGAAAATACAAGAGCTAATGCTCTAGTCCACTAAGGCTAAGGAGATAGTGACAGAGTTCCTGTCTTGGCAGAACAGGAACACAGCCAGGATTAGCCCTTCTTGAACCAGAGGCTCACAGCCATTCTTGCTATAACCTCCATCACGAGGCCCCACTGAGCTTAGAGGAGGCTTACACTTGACATTTGCTTGTATATTGCTTATATAACTCATTCCAGGCCTCTGCAGTGTTCCCTGAAGGCAATAAGAGCATCCTTAGTCCACACCACTCTAAGTGATTGAAATTAAATAAAATTATTAATGGATGAAAGGAGACAAAACTTTTCTGGTGAGTGAAGATCTTTAAATCTCTCTCTTCTTTCATTATAATTTCAAAAACAAAACAAACAGTGCACCACAGCCTGAGAGCAGTAGACTCCTTGTACCAGTTTATCAATGGTTGGAACAGAAATCGTTCCTGAGATATTCTTTCTCCTTCCCTGCTTTGCCTTTTGTCTTTCTTTTCATTCATCTTCCTTCACTCATCTACCTCATTTCTCCCCAATTTTTTTTCCTTTTCTCCTCTATTTTCCTTTCCCTTATGTCTACTATGTATAAGATACTATTAATACCTTGGTACCAGTGGAAAACCCAGGACTTCAGAGAAAAAACCTTTTCCCTCAGTGGTTGATTTATTAACTTAAAACTTTTATGAAGGCCTGTGATCTGCCGGGTACCTTATATCATGGAATATATAGTTTCTAAATAACCTTAGTTGTTAATGAGAATCAATATGAAATAGGGGGAAGAGTAGGTGCTTTGCCATCAGACAACCATGGTCTTGAGTCTTTCTCCTCTGCTATGGTCTTAGTGAGCTTGGAAATTATTTCCTTCATAAGCTAAATGAAGATATATATTTACGTTTCTGCTTGGTTAGATAATTATATAAAATAGGACATATATAGCAACTTAGCCTTGTGTAGAGAAGGGGCCTAGTGAATAGTCTCTGTTGACAGAATTCAAACCAAAAAATTTATGCTTTAATTGTGGAGATGAGATGCAAGAAGTATTCATAAAATTACACCTCCCATTAGAATATCATTTGAATACCATTAGAATATCATTAGAATACCTCTTTTACTCCGCACAGGACAGCGTTGGATCCATTTGATACACTTGGAAAAAATGGAGCACAAAGGAATCGATTGCTGGAAGGCGAAGGAGGACATTGTGGCCAACCCAGCCCTTGATACTTCACACCCATTCTCCTGCTATCCCAGCGGGTGAGCTGCGAGCTCCATCCCAGAAATTAGCAAAATGACAGAGGAAAGCTTCAAGAATGCAACATGCAAGAGGCAGATGAGCAGAGGACAGAGAGATGGTGTAATGTCAGTTGGACACCGGGAAAGGTGAGGGTGACCAAGACACATTTCTTTTCCTCACTTTGTGCCTTTGTCTTTCCTACAGGCTAACGCTCACACTTGCTTGTTTAGCTTCTGGCCTCCTGAAGTGTGCTGCAAACCAACTTTAAAAAAAATGGAGCCAATGCACATGCCTAAGAAAAACCACTTCATCTCCTTAGGAAGCAATGCAGTAAGAGTTGGGTTTGTTCATCTTAATCATTTTGTGGCTGTATTGTTAACTTGAGGGAGTAAATAGCAGATGTCAATAGAATATTGTTTACATGTGCTTATTCCTCTAAGAATTATTTTTCAATGATAAATAGAACGGTAGATGTATCACTTAAATTCCAGGAAATTTGGAAAAATTCAAGGCATGCCCATTCCTCGGTCTGTCATTTTGGAAGTCTAGATTCACCCTTCAGCGTAGTCACTCTCTTCATACAGCTAATATTTCACTGAAAGTTTTGGAATTTTTTTTTTTTTTTTGAGATGGAGTCTTGCTCTGTCACCAGGCTGGAGTGCAGTGGCACCATCTCAGTGCACTGCAACCTCTGCCTCCCAGGTTCAAGTGATTCTCTTGTCTCAGCCTTCCAAGTAGCTAGGACTACAGGTGCCGGCCACCATGTCCAGCTAATTTTTGTGTTTTTAGTAAAGATGGGGTTTCACCATGTTGGCCAGGATGGTCTCCATCTCTTGACCTTATGATCCGCCCGCCTTGGCCTCCCAAAGTACTGGGATTACAGGCGTGAGCCACTGCGCCCAGCCAGTTTTATGTGTTCTTAATATGCAAACGTTGAAATTTGAATGAAAAACAGTCATATTAATTGTGATTTAGCACATTTGTTCTTAATAAGCCCTGTAGATGTTATTGCATATTTCTGGGAATTCAACTTAAAAAATGTAATATGATTAAGCTTCCATGGAACAGTTAAAAGTTTTATAAAAATATAGCAGGAAAATAAAGAAAATTCTAAACATACACCAAATTTTCTTTTTTAACATTTTTTCCCTTCACATTAAATCAACTCAATTTGGAAAGGTTACATATACTTAAGCACATGATGTCATATAATAAATCAAGATAAATGGAAAATATATAATTCCTTTTACAGAGTATGATTTTAATACTTAATTCATCTTCTTCTTTTTTGACAGAGAGTTTCAATATGAATCTAAGCTCCAATTCACAATGCACAAACTATAGCTATTTATTACAATGTTGTACCATTTGTCACTTTTATGGAATTCAGTGTACTTTACAGGCTGTAAAATGGGCTAGAGTGATTCAGAAATGATCTATGCCATCATTATTCCTCATTTCTGGTACTTGAATTGCATCTACTTTCCCCAACAGGCTTGATTTATTAAGTAAATAACAATATGTTTCGATAATGTATATCTATTGAGACGTCATTAGCTGCCCAGAAGATGCTATTCTGACTTTAAATAATTGAAACATACCAGTGATGGAGTCCAATGGACTTGAGATGATTGGGTTATAAATATTTACTAAAGCCTAGTGGTGGGAGGAAGATACTTTCAGAATAGACTGGAAATGAAGAGAGACATTCAAATGATGGTAAGTGTTCTTCATAAAAGTCTAAAGATTTAGAGGTTTATTCTCTCAAAATAGAAAAGGTAGCATAGAGTGGAAGGTGAGCAGATTTGTTTATTTTCTTAGAATCTGAAACAGAATTTCCTCCAACTTTCAGCTGACTGCCTTTAAAAAAGTACCTGTAATATTGGTTGAATTCATCAGTAAATAAATTCCCAAGCCAATCCAGTGCTAAGGGCTAAGCCCCATAGTCCAATAAAACAAGACCTAGGGAGTGGAGTTTATCACTCTCCTCAAAATTAACCCGTTATCTTAGTTGAAGTTATTTAACTGCTAAATTAAATGACTGCTGTGCCCTAATTAAACACCTTATAGCTCACTGTCTGTGAAGCACGTATGATGAAATAAGTTTAAATCTGTAGTCAAGAAGTCATGTTCAATGTTGTTTTCGAAGTTTCTAGAATGTTTTGTGTCAGAGGCCATTTATAACAGGTGCAGCTTCAATAGTTTATAAAGATAAACTGACTGAAATTTCTAACATCCCCCAGATGGCATATTTTGGCTGAAAATGCATTTTGAGAAAGAGAATATTTATTTCTTTTCTAAAATAGACTTGGAATTTTTTTCCTTCTAATTGGGAAAAAAAAAAACTGTCTCCCAACTGATGACTAGATGCTAAAGGAGGAGGTGGATTTTTTCTCTAAAAGTAAACCGCAAAGCTCTTTCTAATAGTGAGAGAAGACTCCAAAAAGTGTAAAATAGTTGCTAAAGGAATGACATATCTACAGCAAAAACTTTCTGTATATGTGTGCACATGTATTTGTGGTGTGTCGTGTGTGTATGTGTATGTGGTGTGTACGTGTGTGGGTGTTTATGTGCACATGTGTGCAGATGTATGTGGTATGTGTATGTGGTGTGTGCATGTGTGCTCTATTTTGAGGAAAGGATAATAACATAAAACTTGACAAGGACTAGGGGCATTTATATCACTTTTCTCCTTAAACAAAAAACAAAGAAAAACCCTGTCTTTCTCCTTGTCCAATATCATATGGATAGCAAGAGAGCTAAGATGTCCAGCAACCAACTGAACTAGTAATCTATTTGGAGAGGTCAGACATGTGGATTGCGGATGAGGGCTTAGGAGGGAGTAGGGAGGCAGAGCCTACAGGTCTGTTAAGGAAATATTCCAAACTAAAGGAGCGGACGGAGCTGGTGTGGAGGGACAGGAGACACCCAGGCAGGAGAAAGGGGGTGCTGTGGCTCTCCTCAGAGCTTCCTTAGGATTCCCTGCTGGATGGAGCTGTGAGAACACAAAAGTTCATTTTTAAAAACAAAAACAAAAAGGAAGTTTGAGGTGGGGCTTCTGGTGAATCGTGCCTTTCCCTGAAGCATGAGACTTCTCCCCAAGGAGCCAGCGAAAATGACAACATGAAGTATAGTGAATCAAACATACGCTTGTGGACCCATTTATAGAACCCATTTATTTATTGAACCCATTTATTAGAGGCATGATAGAAGAGCCTGCATTAGCACAGTATGGCACATATTCTTTTCTTCCAGGAGCCCGGGCAGAGTTCTGCACCCTGTAATTGCCTCTCAATGCTGCTTAGTGACTGAGAACTGAGGCTTGTGTGGAGAGGTGGTGAGGGGAGCAGAGTGAGACTGGAAAGTACAGACGCATCATCTGGGGAAGCCTGGCTGGCCTATACCTGGGCCCCACTCTCTCCTCACCCAGGACCAGTGCCAAGCCTGTGTGGCTATAGGGTATGTAAGCCCCATCTTCCTACCAGCAAAGGCCTGACTACCTGACACTGGTCCCCAACTTCTCCCTCACAAATCTTTGGTTTCTGTGGCCTAATATCCTAAGTCCTAATAAGGAGATCCTGGGCATCCAACATGTCTTAGATAAAACACCTGTCCTCAGGAACCATCTTCTCTTTGTTTTGTTTGCTTGCTTGCTTCTTTAATTTTATTTAAAAAAAATTATAGTGGTAAGAAACCTCACATTTATGCAAAGACCTTGAATTCATCTGTGAATGCTTCTCCTCTTCCACTCTGCCCCTCTGCCCTCCTTCTCCTCCCAACTCCCACAGGGCAGTCCATGGTTCACCAATAATAGCTTTTTCATAATGCCAGTCACAATATGGATTAGACAATTTCTAAGGTCAGTTCCATGTTATTCTTAAACTATTGGAACCAAAATTTCCTAAAGTAAAAACCATGATGATAGAATTAAATAAAGTTAGCACTGAAAGAAATCATTCTACAGCATTTGCATATGGCATAGAAGGCAAGTACAGGCTTGGAGAAGCTCCAGGAGTGTGTATCAGAGAAAGACACAACACAGTCATAATTCTCTCTGTCCTTTCCTTCTTCTTTCCTTCCTTTGTTTTTTTTTTTTTTTTTTTTTGCTTTTTTTCTTCTTGCAGTCTATGACAATATCTGTGATTTTCCTGGAAGAAGTTTATTCTTTACCAAATTGGGAGAGGAGTAACTACTCACCCTCAAGGCCCTATCACGTTCATGACCTACTCCAACCACTGATGGTCTTGATGGCCTTCCATGGATCTCTGATCTACCTACTCATGATCCACACAGATTGGTGGGAGAGTCCCACACTCTAGAACTCCCTCTCTGGAGATTCCAGGTGTGTGAATTGGGGAATCTAGCTAATAGGGAACAGGGATGGCGAGAGAGCTAGAGTGGGTAGGGTTCAATGTGAGGAACTAAGTGTATGAGTTTCCTGTTGCTTATGTGACAAATTACCACAAAATTAGTGCTTAAAATGCCACAAATGTATTATCTACAGCTCTGAAGGTCAGAAGTCCAAAATGGATTTCAGTGGGCTAAAATCAAAATGTCACTAAGATTTCATTCCTTCTGGAATCTCTAAGGGGGAATTCATTTCTTTGCCTTTTCTGACTTCTAGGGGTTGTTCACATTCTTTCACTTGTGTCCTCCAGGGAGCAACTGCATCACTCTGACCTCTGCCTCTTCTCAGGTTCTGACCTTCCTGCTTCCCTCATGCGGGGACTCTTGTGATTATATTGTACCTAACAGTACAATCCAGGATAATCCCCCCATTTCAGGATCCTTACCTGAGTCACATCTGCAAAATCCCTTTTCCATACAAGGCAATGTGCACAGGTCCCAGGGACTAGGGTATAGACATCTATGAGGAAGGGGCATTATTCTGCCCACCACACTAAGCTTCGGTATCCTCAGGTGTATGTGGGACATGGGGATGTACTTGAATGTACTTGTACATGGACACGTATGTCGACATGGAGATGTATTTGGACATGGGGATGTACTCGGACATGGAGATATACTTGGGCATGGAGATATACTTGGACATGGAGATGTACTTATGACTATATTGAAATACCCAATACAAATTAATTGGAATCACTCATGGATACCACAAATATTTGTTTAGTATCTGTTATGTGTCAGACATTGTGATGGGAGAGGGAAGAGGTGGAAAAGAGCCCCCAGATGCTTATAGCATGGGAGGAGAATGTGTTGAAGAAGTCAACAAAAGTCTTAAAAATCTTTGAAATTAATATTTAAACATATAATACTCTACAGCACTCACACTTGCCATTTTGTTTAACAAATATTTACTGAGTGTCAGCTGTGTCTGCCATTGGGCTGGGCACTCAGCATAGAGCAGGAAGGATGAAAATTTCTGCTTTAGAGGAGCTTTTTGTTTGATGGAAGAGACACAAAATGAACAAAGTTGAGATAAGTGTCATAAAGAAAATAAAAGGCATGGATGGATTACTTTAAATTGATTGTTCAAAGACTATCTCCTTATGGGGACGGTATTTAAGTTGATGCCAGAAAGACGAGAATGTGCTAACCAACTATGTGTAGGGCCCTGGGAAGGGCTTTGTAGTAGAGAGAGCAGAAAGTGCAAAGGCACTGAGACAAATAAAAACTCGATGCATTCAAGACCAGAAAGAGAGCCCAATTAGTTGGAGGAAAGCTGGGGTAGGAGAGAGTCATGAATTTTGATGACAATTTTTGCTTGGTTTAAAGTGAAACTACCATTCAATCTGAGGACTTCCGAAGACCTCTCAGCCAATCTCAACATGGAGCAATAGCCTGGAGCGCCCGGGCACTCTGTCTTCACTATCAGCTATCACTTCTGGAGGTCAGTAAATACTACATTAGAAGTGTTTATTGTTCTTTGAATGTCTCCAGAGCAGCAAGTACTGCCTAAATGTTTTACTTCCAGTCATCCTCACATAGTTTTTAATTCGCCACCTGGAGTATGGAAGAGATTACTCAGAAAGATGTTCTGTGCCTGATGATAAAATCTAGTGCTGAGGGACATACAGAGGGAGAAGAATGAACATTTGGAAAAAGAATTCAAGACTCCAAAATCAAGATCAAAATACATCCCATGTCAACAACTCTGTGAGAAGATTTGGCTCTGAGATAAGGATCAAATTAGGTGACTATCATGATTGTGGCCTACATGAGCCCCAAATACATCAATTACTTGAAAATTACCCACACTTTTTCCTTTCATTGTTTCAGCTAGTCGCGAGCCGAGCCATTAGAAACAAGACACAGCTGATGTACATATCCATGATAACTTATTTCTTTCTACAGTTGATCAATTTCTACCCACTGAAGACTGAACACTACTCTCCAATCTCTGGACACCTTCCCAGGCAAAAGCACATGACACAAATACTAATGGTTAATAACTGAGGGTACAAACCAAACCCTCACTGCTGGCTTGCCGACTTGTTAACTAGTAGGAGAGGTGAGGATTGCACGAACAAATCCACTCTGAGTCTGCAGCTTTCTGAAGCCATTTATGTGGAAAGATGGCGTGTTGGTCTCCACTTCTCTTTCAATCTGCCTCTTCTATGTCCCGAGTCACAACTATTACATTTTATTAAATGCTTTGTTTCCAATATGCCCCACCTATAGGCTGCAGAGACAGATGGATCATCTGGGGCTGTCAGGAAAGCCACATTTTCCCTGAGAGCAAATGGCTTGCTCACTACCTGTGGGTTAAAGACAAACCATGAGAGCTACAGCCTATCAGCCTCATGAAGAGTCTTCCCCACTCTCGTTCTTGCAAAAGTTCATTGCAGACCAACTAGGGACTACTACTAGAGAGAAAAAGGAAGCCACAGCATTCATCCACACTTTTCTCACCTCTTTATGATTACATATTGTTCTATAATTTATTTTAACTCTTGACTCCAACTAGAGATCCAACAAATAGCACTTTTCTCTACTTCTAAGCAAAATTCTTAAAAAAAAAAAAAAAAAAAAGCTGTCTTTGCTATCTGTTGACACTCCCTAATTTCTATTTTTTCTCCTCACCCCACTCCAGTTGGTTTTGGTCCTCCACCACACTCTTTAAAGGTAATCGGTAACTGTATCCCTTCTCAAGGAAAATGTTTAATTCTCTGTCATCTTACCTTTTCAGCAACATTTCCCATGAATCTAGAATTTTACTATGCTACACTCAGTTTTCTTCCTCTGTCAAAATCCACTCTTTCTTGCCCTCCTTTGCTGGGACTCCATCATCTATTAGACCTCCAAATCTGAAAATGTCCCAGAACTCAGTCTTCAAACCTCTTCTCTATGTATACACTTTCTTTAGTTGCTCTCATCCTCCCCCTAGCTTAAATGCCATTTCACCACTGATGCCTTCCAAATACCAGCCCCACTCCTCAAAACTGTAGTCTCATATCTATTTACTTCACATCCTCATTTGCATACTGTATAAAGTCAAACTGTAAAAGGCTCACACTGAGCTATTTATTTACTTGTGTCCTCCAAATTCCCTCTTCACTACCCACAAAGTCTTCCTTCTCTCTATAAATGGCCCCAACATTCACCCAACTCTTCAGGCCAAACCTAGGGGAAAACCTTAATTTCTCCTTTTCCTTCCCATCCTACAACCAATTCAGTAGTTACGCTGTCAGGTCTACATCTATCTATCTACCTATTTCTATCTATCTATTATCTATTTACTCATCTATCATCTATTATTTGCCTATATATATATATATATATATATATATATATATATGTATCATCTATGTATCACTGTTTCTCCTGCTACAGCCCTAGTTCAAGTCACCACCCTCTCTCTTCTAGACCTCTGTAGCAGCTCCCTCACCCATCTCCCTGCTGCCCTTCTTGTCCCTAAGTTGATGCTCCACCAACTGCCAGAGAGAATCTTCTAAACCTTAAATCAGATCTCTCCAATTCCTTCTGCCATCTCCTTAAAACTTTCCCAGGCTTTTCCCTTGAAACTTGGATGAAATCAAGGCTTGATGATCTGGCTCCTGGCTCTCTCTTCAACCTCTTATCTTCCCATCCATGCCTTCCTGGCCCAAGTGTTCCATCACATAGGATGTTACTTGTGCCTTGAGGATACTATGTTCTTCTTGGGACGTGCTTTATCCAAATCTTTAAGTGGCTCCACCCTCTTAGTATTTGGGTTACAACTACACTTATATATGATGTGCATTGCTCAATAAAGCAATAAGAATGATTACTGTTCCTATATATCAGTTATACATCATTAAATATGAAGTTTATTATACCTATTATAAAAAATTACACTTTAAATATTTTTTCTTTGTCTCTTCTTGCTGAAAGAAGGCTCCCTGTGTATGGGGCTGTTTGGTTTATTCATTAATGAATCCTTTCTGCCTAGAAAAGGGCCTGCAGCATAGAAGGTACTTAATTATCTCTGTTGAATGAATGAACTCAAATATCTATCCCTCAGAGAGACTTTCCCAATCATGCAGGGTAAAGCAACACAAATACCCATACAGTTATTTCTTATCCACATTACATTCTTCATCAGCAACTGAAATGTATTGATTTGCTTTTCTTTATGTGCCTATTTTTTCCTGTCTTCCCCACTACAATATAAGACCCTTGAAGGTGGAGATCTTGCCAGTCTTGTTCACTGCTGAGTCCCTGTTGCTGAAAATGGTGCTTGGCATATGGGAGTAGCTCATTAGACACTTTCAGTCTAACCAATTTTGATGTCCTGCCACAAGCAAGGAGAGTTGACATGTCCAGGAGAAGCCACTTCACACAGTCCAGGGCTGCACACAGAAACACATCACTATTGTATTCTGAGTGTGTACAAGACAGTGTCTATACTCTATACTGTGCTCTGGGTGAGGTAGGGGTTGGCTGAGAGCCTCTGTTCAGTACCCAGCACCAATCCCAGGAAATAGGATAACATGGCTTAAATTGACTTTGGCATTTCTTTTTCAGCATTCTCCCAACCTCGATGCCCAGGTCCATTATGTTTGCTCACTCACTGGCTGGGACCAGCAGCCCGTGGACACTGCTTGTGCTCCTGGCTCTTCCCCTCTTCTCTTTATTAACCTGTATATCTTTGAGTCCATTTTCCTACCTGTAATGCTTTGAGTTGAGGGTGGTAGCAAAGGGATTAATCAGAAAAGCAAATGTCCGTGCATGCTGTTGTATCCAAGGGGGCAGAAGATGTACAAACCATTTAAGGTGCACTGAAAACCTTTGAAGAGTCAAAGTAATTGGAAGGGGCAGATGTTAAAGCCCGGAATGGGCAATAAGGGAGATGTTTTGAGGACATGCCATGTCTCCACTTATTAGATAGTGTGTTCTCTATAAGAAACTGTCCCTACATGTACCTTCCAGGTCAGATTCAGTGTGACAAAGTTGAGGGGTGTAGGGTAGCACTGAGAGCCTCATTTTGATCCCTCACAACCTCATGTCAACTATTGCTACCTTCTCCTCCCACGCGGACTGTTTAAGGTAATAGGTAGGTTATCTTCTATACGATTCTGAAATTTCATACATCATCTGATCACACTGACTTCACAAATGAAAATGAAGGCTAAGGCCCAGAAAGGGGGCAAGACCTGCCCAAGGTGACACAGCCCCAGTGATGAGGCCAGACCAGAACCAGAACTCCTCACAGCCCAGAGCTCAGCTCTTGCCATCCCCTGCACCTGAGCCAAGCGCTGGCATCTTCTATTCAGTCCTCAGTGGATGTTGTTGACATCTTAAGGAGAAAGCCCCTTAAGGTATCTTGATATTTCTGACCTCAGGATGGTTACTAGGGGCTGGGGTGGGTCAGAGAGGAAAGCATGGGATGGAGAGAAAAGAAATAGAGATATAGATCAACCCGGACCCCTTTTAATTACTCAAATCTCCTTTAGCAATTATGGATTCACTAACATCAACTCTCCTATGAAAAGTTGTTCCTGATGATCTCACCCAAGATGGTCTCACATTTTCCTGTTTTCTTTTCTTCCTAGTACATTGGAAATCATCTTATGTATCTTGTCTTGTTATTATCAGTCTTGTCCACTAGAAGCCCAGCTTCAAAAAGATGGAATCTTGTGTGATCTATTGCGCTGATATTTCCAATCCTGAAACAGTGGAAGCTGCTCAGTAAATAGTTGTTGAATTAATTATTGCTGAATAATTCAAAGGTTATGGCATAGGCTTTGAAAGCATGAAATACTAAAATATTTTTTTTTCTTGAACAAACCTATTTATTTGATCCTCTCATACTTCTACTGTTTGAATCAAATAAATCAAATGTTTCTACTGTGGAAAAAAAAATAAAGAAAGCCTCTATTTGAGATAGCTGACAGCCTAAAAGGCTGGTCAATCACTTATAACTTATTTGCTGTCCAGCCTACATTATCACTTTAACTCATCTCTCATAAAATAACAGAAAACTACTGAAAAACCACTCGCCTCTCTTGAATCCCCCTGATGTAAACTCAGAGTGAAAAGGTAAAAATATCGCTCTCCCCAGGGGAAAGTAATCTCACCTTAGTTGTGGTTAGAGGGACAGCATTGTTATTCCCAGGCACTGGAAATCTATCATCTTCAACTTTCCCACCTACCCGGGAACAGACTGTGGTAATAACTCCAAGGAGCTGCGTTTCAACTCCAGCTGTGGATCCAATTTCCACTTATAAGATTTAACCTGGAAATTATCAGTGACAGCAGCAGGGGGAAAATGAACAGCTGATGTGGAAGGTACAGCGGGAGAAGCTGGCCCAGCCTGGCAAGAGGAAGAGACGAATGCCACATAAGGCAGACCGGCATAAAGGATGTCCTTGTGGAAATGAAATGTGATGTACAGCAATTCCAACTGTGAAGCCACCAAACAGCCTATTAACAAATAAATGGCTTGATGTGATTATAGATAAGACAAGTGAAATTAAACAACATCACATGCAATGAAAGCTGCATCTGGGAGCATTGACTGAGAGCTGGTGAGAGGCTTAAGCAGCAAGAGGAGAGGACAACTGAATAATGCTTTGAATGAGGAAATTAAAGGAAAGGTGATAAACAGGAAAAAGTCTATTTAATTGGGGTGCTGATGTGGGAGTCATTAGTCTCCGACTCTAAAATATTAAAGATAAAAACTGAGAATAGAAAGAATGTATAATGGGCAAGGTGCAGTGGCTCACGCCTGTAATTCCAGCACTTTGGGAGGCGAAGGTGGGTGGATCACCTGAGGTCAGGAGTTCGAGACCATCCTGGCCAACATGGTGAAACCCCATCTCTACTAAAAATAAAAAAATTAGCCAGGTGTGTTGGTGGACACTTGTAATCCCAGCTACTCGGGAGGCTGAGGCATGAGAATTGCTTGAACCTGGGAGACGGAGGTTGCAGTGATCCAAGTTGGGGCCACTGCACTGCAACCTGGGCAATAAGAGTAAGACTTGGTCTAAAAAAAAAAGAAAAAGAGAAAGAAAAAAGAATGTATAATGGAAAGTCACAGAGTTTCAGCATCTTTAGCTGTAGGCATTACGTTTATTCCATAATTGTTACTACAACCCTAAGTGCCAGGCACTGTGCTAATTCAGAGAACATTAAAGACACCATGTCTTTTCCCTAAGAGATGAAGATGTGTGAATGGACTAGACAGCCGGAAAATACAGGAGCAAACTTGTAATGGGAATCAATACAAAACTAAACTCTTTGCATTTCAAAAACACAAACCCCTTAGCATCGTATTAATTGCCTTGGCATATATTGTCTCATCCAATCCTCATGACACACTCTGAGCTACGCATCGCTGCCCTACTGCACTGGCAACAAAACTGAGGATCTGAGAGACTTAACACACCACAGAGCTAACAGCTGAAAAAGCTGGGATTTGAATTCAGTGTTTACACCAAAATCCATGTTCCTTCCACTGTACCATGTTGTCTCTGCCGGTACCTAGCCGAAACAACTTCTGGTTAATCTATGACATACACAAGGCTTTCTGCTTCTTGTGCTTTCTGTCTCATTAACGTGGCCCCATTTTACTTTTTCATAGAGTGGGTACCTTTCATGCCTTTTTCTCGTCAGGATCATAAATTCATTTACAATCTAGATAACTGGAAAATTTATGTTTTATTTTTCTCAATAGTATTTGAATGTTAACATGAACTGCAATATAACCTTAAGATCAGAGGGAATTAAAAACTCCAAACAGTAACCAGGTCAGAAACTGGGAAGAAGGGAGGTATTTGAGAGAGGAAAGAAGTCTTTAAAAGCCCTGCACAGATGCCCTACTGATACTCAGTTCAGGAGTAAAGCAAAGGGGTCCACTACAAGGGACCCAATGGACAAGAGAGGCCTCTGATGTAGTAGCATCTTCTAAACTGTGTCAAACCGCAGCCAGCTGTCTCAGGTCTATGGTCTGCAACAGTGTTCATCACTCAGAAGGGTGCTGGCTGAGCTGGAGCTCAGAGGAAACTTCTCTCAGCCTGGAGCCTCACCACAACACTAGGAGGCAGCAAAGTACCTGGGAAAGGAATTCACTTCAATTCACTTTAGCTCTGCAAGTATTTACTATTTGGAGAACACGTGTCATTCTCCTAGAGTTGTAAATATGGTAAAGAAATAAAAATTATAGCCTTGATCACTTGAGAGGATACAACCTCATTGAGAATATAAGAGACATAAATCCACAGTCAAAATTTTCAGGCAGGGGGGCAGCGGGCATGATGGGGACCATTCCAGAGAATGTTGACACTGAGAATATGTTTTAGGAAACAGGGAGAGACCAAAGCGAGCTACACAGTTAAGGAAGGCTTAGTGGACAGGTGGATTTGAATTTTTATAATTGTGATGGTAGAAGTGGGGAGATCATCCTTGATAGCAAGCATGAGTCCAGATGGAGAAATGAGCTTAGAAAAAAATGAGTGTAGTGGAGGATGGATTGCAAGGACACCAGACTGACTCAACAGAGGGGGCTTTGTGGTGTATCTATTATGTGCCAGACCAGGGCTATGGGTTTATAGTCATCATTTAACTTGCTTTTCACAATAGCTGTGCTGTAGGAAGAACTCTGTTTACCTCTATTATAAAAAGCATCTCAGAGATAAGTAACTCGTCTGATCTGAACAGTCAGAGACAAGAATTGAAAGACCATTTGCACCATCCTTCATTCCGTGCCCCCATGATTCAGTTGCAAGTGAGAGAAAGGTAGAAACTGTCCCTAACCTTGAGAGACACACAGGTTGTCTGGGGAAACACAGACAAATTAATCAGTAATTTCAATCTGGTATAATGTGTCACAGAAACCAAGTAAGACAGGGTCTTGTTTTATGAAAGACACTGTGTGGTACTTGAGGTGAATCTGGAAAAACAAACAGAATATGCTCAGGCAAAGAAAGGAGCAAAGGTTGCTTCAAAGTGAGGAAACAGCCTGTGTACAGTGCCAGAGGTGAGGAAGGGTCTGATTCATACAGAGCACTCCACACCAGCAGGTGCCAGGGCTAAAAGCACCGACTCTGCCAGCAGATGTCTGGTCGAAGTCCCAGCCCTGCTCCTTACTGGCTGTGTGACCTTTGGAAAATCACTGAACCTCTCTGTGTCTCAGTTTTCTCCTCTGTAGAGACAATAAAAATACACATCACCCAAGGTTATTTGAGGAGTAAATGATCTAACATTTGTAAAGAACTTAGAACTGTGCCTGGCAAATATGTAATGTGGTGCAACTGGAGTCTTAAAAGCCAGTTAAATCATGGAGAGGGCCCTTTGTCCTATGCTCACACCCTTGGGATTTGTCTTGAGAATGGTGTGGGAATGTTGAGGAAATATAGCAAGAACAGTAAAGTCTCCGGACCTGCATTTTAGAAAGCTGAGGGTGAAGACTTGCAGTCATTTAAATGAAAAATGAGGGAGGCCAGAAGCTAAGGCAGTGGCAATAGACAGGGCAAGAATAAAATGGGCTCAAAAGATACTAAGACTGGAATATTAGAGAATTAGGTGACAAATGGATGAAGGCAGCGGTGGTCCCTAAGTTTTAGGTTTGGGGGCATGATGGTTTCTAAAGGAGGTAAAATGCTTTCCTTTGACCCTTGCCCTTCTCTTCCAGCCCCACGTCACCCCATTCACCTCACAGGCTGTCTGCCTGTGTATGAAATGGGAGCTTTCCAGGATAGGATCTCTTACACCCCCTCCAGCTCTCAGAGCCTTTGGGGCTGCCTTTATGGTGAGTGGCTACAAAGTGCATGTGTGAGTCCAGCTGTCTCCAACCAGGATGCCCCTCTCGCCCTCTCTCTTCCTGTTTGTACCCACATGTTTTCTTTTTTATTTATTTCTCTCTCTCTTTTTTTTTTTTTTTTTTTTTTGTTGACACACAGTCTCACTCTGTCGCCCAGGCTGGAGTGCAGTGGCACAATCTCAGCTCACTGCAACCTCCGCCTCCTGGGTTCAAGTGATTCTCCTGCCCTTGCCTCCTGAGTAGCTGGGACTACAGGTGTGCACCACTATGCCCAGATAATTTTTGTATTTTTAGTAGAGACAGGGTTTCCCAATGTTGGCCAGGCTGGTCTTGAACTCCTGACCACGTGATCTGCCCACCTTGGCATCCCAAAATGCTGGGACTATAGGCGTGAGCTGCCGCTCCAGGTTATGCGGACATGTTTTCTAATAGTCTGCTTAGAAATGAGGCTTTAAGTCAGCTGCCTCTTCTCAAATGAACACAGGAAGTACCTGGAGACGGGGTTGAGAGTGGTGAATGACTCTCTATGTGGAGAATCACCCCATGCTGCAGACTCCCTCCTGGGTCATACGACACCGAGAAAGAAGCCAGTGAGTGCATGGGGCCAGCTCACGCCCACCCCCGGCATGCATGTGCACGCTGACAAGAGAAAGTTCCCCAAAGCACAAGGAAATGACCCAAATAAGAACATAATGCATTCCCAGTCCCTCTCCTTCGCCATCCCCTGCTAATGCAAAATGAATCTAGTCAGTAAGAAAATTAAATATGATAACTGCTTTGATTTTTATTTCTATGTGCTCGTGTGATTCCGCCTTAAGAGGCAGCCCCATCCTTTTTTAAGGCCACACATCAGAGTGCTTTAAACACATCTCTCTTTAACTGGAACTAAATAAGATGGTCCACATTTCAGTTTTTCTTTCTTAGAGTCAGCTTTCGTATGTGTGTCTCAGGAGAAACGAGTTCAATTTTTTCTTCACCCATTACAAGCAACTGGTGCCATAGGAACACTCAGGCGTGGAGAGAAAGGATGTCATTTCACTCTACCTGTTGGAGGTTACTGCCCCACAGGTCCCGGCGCTAAAAGACTTCACAGTCTCCAGTTATTTGTGTTTTCACCAACACTTAAAAAGTAGCTCCGGAAATGAAGTCGCTGTTTAGGGACAACCAACTGCTTCAGAGACCCACCAACCTAGATTTCCATGCTTGGCCCAGGAAAAGACTCGCTCATAAAAGCTGTGGCTTGTATCAGAGCAGTTTCTAGATATCTCTCCAATCCTCACAAGCAGCCTGTAACTAGCCCGCCCTTCTCAAAGACGAGTAAGGAGGGGAGGAGAGGAGGCAAGTGACTTGTGTGATTGTTCTGCAGAAAGGTGTCAGAGCCAGAATGAGAACCCAGATGTCGCAACACCCCCATCTCTGTGTTACTAATTTTGAGGCTGTGTCACTGGAATTTTATTTTGTACCTTAACATGACATCACCATTTCTGAGCATGGTGCTATGACGGAATCAGGAATGCCGCAGAACTTTCTTTACTCTTCCAATCCCACTACCTGAACTCAAACTTGCTCCAGTTTCTCCATAGAGATGAATCATCTTAACGGTAATAATAGATGCCTCTGTCTTTCCAGTTATAAAGGGTTTTACTTATTTCATCTTATGTAATCTTCAAAGCAACCCTGCTAAAGGTGAGCTGGGCATTCTTTATTTGCCCTACAGATCTACTAGCCAACCTCCTCACCCCACTCCATCCCTGGAAGGCTGGCCTCCAGGGACCACGTCAACTGTGGTCCCTGCAGTGGGGCTGCTGGTCCTTTTTCTATCAGAAGAAGGCACCAGCATGAGGTGAGAGAATCAGAGGAGAAAAGTCGGTGAATGCAATCACCAGCCCACCCCTGCTGGGTCAAAGTGTGGCAGTAGCTGTGCTCCCCTAAAGAGGGAATATCTGCCCAGTGGTCCATTTCTACACTCTTCCACAGTGACAGGTTCAGCAACCTTGAAGTTCTTACAGCCATTCTGCCCTGTGCTGGTAAAGGTATACTACTATTGTTGTAAGCAGTTAAACAATCTCTGAAGTCTTATGTCACCTATGTATGCACTGGACTCACATATATGCATAAGTACACATCCACACAAATATTTATATATTTATAAACACATACACACAGGCATATCTTAGGGTGCTTTTCTGCTTGAACCATTACTCTGATGGATACACAGAAAATCAAATGGCTAAGGAACATTCCTAGAGTTGTACAGCTAGGGTCAGCTACAAAATTTGTGATGCCCAGGACAAAATCAAAATGCAGCTGCTTTATGGAAAAAGGAAAAAAAAAAAGCTATTTCTTTTCTTCTGTGGTCTCCCTCTTGACCTGCATGGTGTGCTTTTGTTTGCTATTTAATGTCACACTCCCTGGGAGCAGGTGCCAACCCCGATGCCTCCCATGCCTGCATCCAGACCCTGCAGGGGCAGCAGCAGCAGCCGTGACTGGGCAGGAGTGGAGGAGCAGCAAAGTGGTTCCCTGGAGGGGTGGAAGTAGCAGGAGGTGAGAAGGCCAGCGACCCAGGGCTTGCTCCAGCGTCCCATTGGGCTTCACTTATGAACCACAAATTCGAAAGTAAAATTATGAAGAATCTCAAAGCAGCAACTGCAGGGCATTAAACCACAGGGGCACTGCCTGTTTTGATGGGGCCTTGTGCTACCGCACACACATGATGCGGGGCTGATACACAGCTGTGTGCAATGAAGCTGGGATTTAAAATGTATCTGACTCTAAAATCCATGCTTTTACCACAGAATCATGTTGCCTTCCAGAGCTAATAAATGGACTTCTCTCTCCTTAGTGAGAAGTCTGGGGATCAGAATAAGAATAAAATCCAACAGACAGATCACATCTTAAATTTCCCAGGCCTATGGCCCACATACATTCTCTATTTTGTTAGCCAAGGAAAGAAGATATTTAATTTTTCTTTGTAATTAAGAAAACGAGGTTATGCCAGGTAATAATTTCTGGTGACTTTTGGACTTCTAATCTCAGCATCAGACTCATACAGAGCCTCAATTAAGTGTGCACACCTAGCAGAAGTGGCAAATCATTAACTAGAACACTTTGCCTTAGGAGATACGGATGTCACCAGCCACTTTAAAATTGAGTAGTATGGCTTGACTGTTCTGTCAAGGGAAGATTCAAAATCTTCAGACCAGAAAAACATTTCAGAGCTTCAGGCCCACTGTAAGGAGATTGACCAGCGAGGGTGTTTGGCTGCATGAGTAATATAGTTTGGCTATCTATCCCTGCCCAAATCTCACATTGAAATGTTATCCCCAGTGTTGGAGGTGGGGCCTGGTCAGAGGCTGATTGGATCATGATTTTTTCGTGAATGGTTTGGCACCATCCCTCTTGGTACTGTCCTAGCAATAGTGAGTGAGTTCTCATGAGATCTGGTCATTTAAAACTGTGTGGTACCTCCCCACTTGCTCTTGCTTTCAACACCAAGTCATGTACCTGCTCCCCCTTCACCTTCTGCCATGATTGGAAGCTTTCTGAGACCTCCCCAGAAGCAGATGCCAGCATCATGCTTCCTGCACGGTCTGCAGAACTGTGAGCCAATTACAACTCTTTTTTTTTAATAAGTTACTCAGTCTCAGGTATTTTTATATCAATGAAAAAATGGACTGATACAGGGGGGAATGCTGAATTATGACTCTCAAGAATGGAATGATAGAACTGTATAGTGTGGGTGGGGACAGAGGAAACAGAACACAGAACTGCTTCCAAGGAATAAAATAGAGACCATCAATATGAGTATATAAACCAGGAATCTGTTTTAAAGTAGAATTTCATACACAATTCAAGGCACAAATGTCCCAGGTAATGAAATGGCAGCAGCAAAGATAAAAGACACTCATTGAGAGTTTTACATGAGTAACATTTGCTCCATGGGTTGCGGTATAAAGAAATCCAAAACTAGACTGAGTTTTCTTGCAGGTAAAACCAAAACTATCGCAAAATAATAATTATTATAATAATCAGCAGTAGCAGTGCTTAACCTGTGTTGAATGGTAAATGAACACCACAAGCGGCTGAAAAATAGAGAACAGACTTTATAGAGTGGGTAAAACTTAGACTGTTTTTTTGCAAAAAGAATGAAGAATCACATAAATTCATGTACCTGCTAACAGTTCACACAGAAAGTCTAAGAAAGTTTTATCTAAATCCCCTGCATGAGAAGTACTCATCAGGTTACTAAGAAGAAGGTAAGGCAGTTGGAAAGACATTGTATGTTGATCTCAATGAATCCAACTTTTTCTCCTCAACAGTGTCCCTCAGTGACCTGGGGTAACCTTGTTCATTCTGGAATGCTAAGAGGTAAGGAACTAGGAAGCCAGCCATCTGTTCAGTGAATCAAGACCAGTGCTGACAAATAGAAATAAAGTGTCAGCCACATGTGTAATTTCAAATTTTCTAGTGGCCACTGTAAAAGTAGTTAAAATGAAAGTGAAATTAATTATAATATTTAAAATTTATTAACTTATATAAAATGTAATTAAATACACAAAATCTCATTATCAATTATTTAATGATTTAATTTACAAAATACATTAATTTCATATTACTTAACAAATATTTTAATATATTGAGAGCCTGGCATAGTGGCTCACACCTGTAATCTCAGCAATTTGGAAGGCTGAAGTGGGCGGATCACGAGGTCAAGAGATCCAGACCATCCTGGCCAACATGATGAAACCCCGTCTCTACTAAATATACAAAAATTAGCTGGGCATGGTGGCGGGCGCCTGTAATCCCAGCTACTTGGGAGGCTGAGGCAGGAGAATCTCTTGAACCCAGAAGGCGGAGGTTGCAGTGAGCCAAGATCTCGCCACTGCACTGCAGTGTGGTGACAGAGCAAGACTCTGCCTCAAAAAAAAAAATTTAATATATTGACATAAACATAATGAACTACATTTACATAATCCATACATTAAAATAATCAATCTATGAATTAATCCTATTGAGACAATCTAAATATAAATTAATAATATATTGCTATGTAGTAGCTTATATAAATATAATCAATAAATTGAGCACTTAATTATTACGCTTAATGTATAAATTTTAATATATTATTATATCATTTAACTTATATAGACCTTGCTAAACAAATTTGAGTCCCCCCAATGACTCTTATTTTCTGTAATTAGTGGTCTATACTCTACAAAAGGCCATTTAACAAATGCTGACAAAGAGAAGCCATTAACAATATCACCTTCTTCAGACCATTTTATGCCCCTAAAGCATCCTTAGCCAAGTGTTTTATCAATCACAGTCTACTGAAATTGCCTATTTTGGACCTGTTTCTTATATTAGACTATAAACTCTTTGAAGGCAAGAAACATACTTTATTAGTCTGTGTTCCCCCAATGACTCATACTGCCAAGAATATGAACAAAAGCTTCTATGTCTTGGTTTCCTCCCACAGGATCTGAAGCGTTCTTGCCTCGTGGGGCTTTTTGGCTCATGCCTGCAGTTCCTTGAGTCTTGACTCACATTCACTTCTCAATGGAACCCATCCTGACCACTTCATTTAAAATGATAGACCTCTCCCATTGATTCTTCTGATCTTCTTTACCCTGTTCTACTTTTTCCCCAAAGCACTTAACCACATTATGGCACACTATATGCAGTAACTTGCATAGCTCCCTTCCCCTACTGGACAGTGAGCTTTAGAAGGGCAAGGATTTTTTCTTTTTTTTTTTTAACTGCTATATTCCCTGATATATACCTAACATCTAGAATGGTCAAATACTAGCTGATTAAAATAAATTTGTTGAATTAGAAAAATGAATCCTGAATGAATGAATACATGAATGAGGCTAAACAAACAAACAAAAACAACCACCACCACCACCAACAACAAAAAAAACAAGCTACATTCAAAGAGTCATCTGAGATAGGCCAAAAGTCTAGTAGACTAGCAGACATTGCAGTGATCAAAGCAGATGCTGGGCAGTTTCTTCTCAATACAAGGAGAAAAAAAAAAAAGAGTTCAGGCCAGCCATGTTTAAAAGCAGCACTACACAAATAAAAGTTAACAGCCCGTATGGGAGAGGAGTTTGCTTGCTTAATGACTTGGCAGCAGAGCAAGTGTGAGGACTGTTTGAAGAGATTTGAGACCTTATCTTTTGTTGGCTTCCTGCTCCCACAGCCCACAGGAGCCATGAAGAATATTTCCAAAGACAGCAAAAAAAGTATGGCTTTATTTGGTCACCAGGAGGCGGCGTGAAGCATTCGCAGGAAAGGAGAAGACAGTTAACCCTCAACTGAATTCCAAGAAGGAATGAACAGACTCAGAAAGAAGTGAAGGAAATTACTTCTTCCCTCTTGCTATTTCCTACTTTTTCTTTAGCTTTGCTTCAGGGACGCAGGAGTGGAGGATGCTGTCAATGTTGGAAATTAGCCCCTTGGCAAAGGCTTTAGGTGAGAGCTGAGATGTGCACTCAGTTAAGTGCTGAAAACAAGACGTCGCCAGTGCTTAGCAAACAGGAAGAACAAAGAGCAGCCAAGTGATTTAAGTCGATTCTCCTTATAAAAGGAAAATTATAATGATACCAAGACAATGAAAACTTTGTAACAAGTGAATTTTAACAATTAATACTGTTATTAACATACCATAGTCTCCTCCAGTGCCAAATCGTATTGGTCAGGAAATGGAAAAAGCCTCTAGCAGGATTAACTCAGTCTTTGTGGTGAAAACGTAATTTAAATTGTATTCTATTAACTTGGAAAAGATAAGCCACTGTTCTCTTGAGCAAACCCAGGGCTTATTTGAATGAAGCAGGACTTTGCCAATCCAAGGTTTCAGGCATGATTGGGGAAGGAGGAAATAGAGCCACAGGTATTCCTAAGAAAGATCTCATCCTAAGAAATGAGAGGCAGATCCCAATCTTGATAAAACCCACACTATGAGGCACATTCAGTTTTGGAGGCATAGTGCAATAATGAGTCATGAGATATTAAGTAACTATTCGTGTTTGAGAATCTGTGCTAAGAATTTTTTAACATAGATTTTCTCATTTTTATTTCACCAGATTACCACCTTACAGATAAGAAAGCTTGTCTTCCTTGCCTAAGTAGACACCCAGGGTCACACGGCTAGCAAATGGTGGATTCAACCACAACTGAAGGCGATTTGATGCCAAAGCTTTATTCTCCTCTATACTCAGGGATAAGAGGGGCAGAAACTGCATTCCTTAGGGATACAGAGGATGCTGAAGAGGTTTAAATCCAAAAGCCTTGATGTGTTAGTAAGATGAGACTTATGTAAATCCAAGTCATCAGCTCCAAGTGTTCCACTCAATCAGCCTTCTGGAAAGCATGTGGGGAGAACTGGTATGCCATTCCCCACCAAATAAGGAGTGTAGGTGTTAGTAGATAAAGATATTCGGCCAGGCACGGTGGCTCATGCCTGTAATCCCAGCACTTTGGGAGACTGGGACTTGTGGATCAACTGAGGTCAGGAGTTCGAGACCAGCCTGGCCAACATGGTGAAACCCCATCTCTACTGTAAATACAAAAATTAGCCAGGCATGGTGACACATGCCTGTCATACCAGCTACTCAGGAGGTTAAGGTAGAAGAATCACTGGAACCCGGGAAGTGGAGGTTGCAGTGAGCCAAGATCGCGCCACTGCACTCCAGCCTTGGAGACAGAGTGAGACTCCATCTCAAAAAAAAAAAAAAAAGGAAAGAAAGAAAGAAAAAAAACTGTATGTATATATATTCAAGCAGAAACTGGTTTTTTAAAAAAAATCTCCCATTGAGAATCCATTCTTTATTTTACACTTACATTTTTCCCTGTTACAAAAAATAATAAAGGGATGTTTTAAATTAAAATAAAAACCATAATCCCATTACTCAAAAGCAACTATTCACTTCTAGTCTTTTTCTGTGACATTTTAAATAGTTTTTATCGTATTATACTCTTTCCTCCTGTGTTTGCTCAACATATGGCATAAGCATGTTTTGCCATTAATATTCTACAAGTTTTAAATGTTTAATAATTTTATAGGAAAAAAATTTAAACTTTCTGTCAATGTGCTTTGGTAACATGCCATCAGGTATAAGTAATAACTTACTTAATTTCTTCCCTGTTAGTCATTTGCTTTTATTTTTTTTCTATTATAAATGACAAAGATTAACTTCTTTAACTTAAAGCTTAGCCTTCTGCAATTACTCAAATATCTGCAGGAAAGCTAGAGTATAAGATCTGATGATTCATTTGTATATTGAAAGGAGCTTACCTGTTTTCCTGAGAGTGGATTTCAGGAAAAAGGGGGGTTTTGAGGAAGGGAGTATGGAATTCCGGAATTCCTGACAATGGTATAGTAGGGTCTTCCTAAGGGGGAAGCTGGCACAGAAAGGAGAGGTTTGGCTGTCCAAGAGTCACCTCCCAGTGTCCAGTGTTGATCACGCTGACTCTACTTTCATACAAACCACTGGATGGAATATGAATGCTTCAACCTCCGAAAATATCCAGACCCCCCGAGTATGTCAGGGGAGTATAAGTCTATATCTGAACTTTAGAAGAGATTCCTGTACATTTAAAACAAAAATACAGAGTAGTTGCGAAAAGCCGTGACTTCGCCCCCATCGGAAATCACAACCCCTGCCAGAGAAGCTATTTTCCAAGTGGGCAAGAGAATTCCCTCAAGAAAGTTATGAGTTCTCATTTGAAACATTCTTGAAAGATATATCTATTTGTCTCTTAAAGATGGAGAGGAAACAAGGTATTTAAAAGACCAAAGAGATTGGAGTTAAGCTGTGACGGGAGTGGAGGGTAGCAGCTTCCTAATGAGAGTCTGTGTAAGTTTTACGAGTATATTTCTGAAGGCAGTTCACAGCCTTTAGTGAAGGTAAGACTAAGAAGAGATTGGACAATACCATTTTATGTATGGTTTTAGGAGTGGGGAGCAGGAGGCGTATAAGCAGAGGCAAGGGAATTGAAAGACCTTTCGCTAAACTGTTAGAAAACGAAGTCTTCATGAACTCTCTCAGTTTAGACTCCTTTTCCTTAAGCCCTGATGTAATTAAATCAAATTCAGCAATAACAAAATATCATAAACAATTTTAATGTATAATATGTGCTGAAAAGTGTCATTAAGGAGATGGCTGCAATAAATAGAAAAATATTTAGTGTGGCTCCATCTGAATGTTCTATTGCCAAGGAAACACAATATGAAGTTTTTCTTTAATTATTTCAATATAATGACTTTCACTAGGTGACTTTAAAACCATGGCCAGTATTATTATAGGAATTACTGAAATGGTTTTAATGAGTATCTGCTAACTTCGTCAAGCTTATACCCAACCTTTTTAATTATACCACTCATTGTACCTTTTAAAATAGGTATATCAGGCTTCCAATCACTTTTCTTCTGTTGAGATCTGACTAGATGACAACAATCTGTCTCAGATTCTCCATGACAGTTCTAATTATACATATTCCATGCCATTGTCCTTCCGAACCATCAAATTGCCTTAGCTATGTCAATGTAGGGAGTTAAAACTACTCTTCTTAAGTACTGGTCCACATTTGGAAATGATGCAAAAATCCTTTGTCACTTTGCATTTGATACCTTATTTGGAAAATATCACTCCATTGGTCTCATGAGAGAGGCTGAATTGGTGGTATCTGTCTTTGAAAATATGTTGCACATTTCCTGTTACTCAAACCTTAGATTTCCATTCCTATTATGTACTTTAATACTAAAAATAATAATATGTTGTATGCTGAAAATGTCCAGTAGGCAGGTGATGAATTGCGAACACTTGGAATTATCATTACCTGCAATGTGGGCATCTTTATCATAATAATATTGCTAAGAATATAAAAGAATATAAATGGTTGCTGTTCTAAGTGACTGATTTATCTGTTATGGCTATGTCAATGTGCTTTAGAAGACTACATATAGTGCTGTATATGGGAGGCCTCTGATCATTCATTCTTGCGTGTAATCATTTAACAAATATTTATTAATTTGTTAATTAATATAAACAAATATTTATTGAGTATATTCTTTGTGCCAGGTGCAGTATGATGTGCTGAATCTATAATGGAGAACAAAATACCCATGCTCTCTACGTGCATGGAACGTAGAGCAGGTCAGAGATGACACTGAAGCTGAAACGTGAAAGCTGCATAAGAATTAGCCAAGCAAAAAGAAAGCAGGGGTCAAGAACCTGAGCAAAGAAAGCACTTGGAATATGCAAGAACTGGAAGAAAGCATGCCTGCTACAGCACACGTTTAGGGGACTGAAGCATGAGAATAGAAAAGGCCAGGCCACACAGGCCTAGAGGCCTTATGGCACAGTGGCTTGTCTTTTATCTTAAGATGATAGGAAGGAAATACAGTCGGAAGGAACTTCCATCAGAGCTGTGAAATAATAATGAATTTATGTATATATATATGTGTGTGTATGTATATATATGAATTTACTTTTCCTAGAAGTTATATATAATTGTATATATGTAATTATGTGTTTATAATATATTTTTAATATATTGTATCAATAGTTATGTGTATAATTATAAATATAATTTATATGTAATATACAGTTATAAATAAAACATGTAATATAACATAATTATAAATATATTTATATATATAAAATACAATTTTTATTTTAAAAACATCACTTTGTCTGCTATGTGGCAATTAAAGGTTATGAGTAGAAGCAAGAAGATCAAAGTGGCTGTCATCTCTCAGGTTCCTCAGTGTCTGTCCTCATCTCCTTTGAAGGACAGGAAGACAGTGACTTCTCAGCTCTTTGGCAGTTGGATGGGTATGTGTGACTAATCTGATCAAGGGGCTATGAGAAAAAGCGATGTGAAGCTCTTATGGGCCTAACGACAGAGAAGGGAATTCTCTTCTTTTGCCCCAGCAAACCCAGAGATGTGTGCTCTCGGGTGCACCTACTGCAAGTTGGACATTCTCTCAGTCTGGGTCCTTTGGTGGCAGTGACAAGAAGAAGCACTTCCATACATGCTGCATCTGTCACCCACTAATCTACGCTAAATTAGTAGCAAGAACAATAAATAAATCTATGTTATATTAATGATTCTGAGATTGCAGTGCTACTTTGTTACCTCAAACTAGCCTAACTTACCCTCACTAAAACACTGGAATAATAGGACTCAATTTTGGGGAATGTAAGAAACAATAGAGCAACAGATACACAAGTGTGCATCACTGTAGCAAGCACAAAGGAGATTCTAAGAAAATGGTAGCTAGAAACTAGTCCTATTGGCTTTTTTATTCCAGTCTCAGCTTTGTTGTTAACTGGTTCCCTGGACTTTAGGTGGACACTTCAGCTCTGTGAGTCTCAATTCCCTTCTCTGAGTGAGGGGTTTGCACTAGATCTCCAAAACCCTTGCCACCTAACATTCTGAGCTGATGGGATAACAAATGCAGAGTAGTCTGTGTTACATGGAAGAGCTGAGCATTGCTTTCCTTTCCTCTTCTTTCTTCTCTGTTCATCAAGCAGAGCAAACACATCCCTTGGATACCAGGTCAGTAGACACACCGTCCAAAGAACCAGGCCACTAATACTCCCTTCTGCTCTTCTTTGCATAAAGAAACAATTATGAAACAATTCATGATTCATTCAAGGCCACTGAACAAATCCTTAATTTATCTCTGGAGATTTACAAACCCAACAGCTAGCCAGGGAAAATAAAAACACCAATTCTCCTGGCTAAGATAGTCAAGGTATCAATGAACTAGTGTTAAGGGATTTCCCAGTTGGCCTTTCTGTGTCCTCTTAAGAGAACTGCCAGGCAAATCTGCGAATTCCCAGAACCACTGATCCAGACTTCCAAGTAAGAGAGAGGTTTGGGCTTTCTCCACATCCTGGGCATTTCTGTGTTCATGCAGTACACATAATCCATTTATGTGACAGAAATTCTTAGAAAAAACTGGGCTCTGGCTCCAAAGCTGCCACTAGCTAGCTCTGTGATTCCAGAAAAATAACTCTACATTGTCCCCATCTCAGGATGCTTACTTGTGAAATGGTGATAATGAAACCCATCTTATCTCCCTCCTGCGGTTGTCATAATGATCAAATGGGATGGAATAGAAGTGAATGTCCTTTGAAAAGCATACTCTGCCCCATAGATGCCTTTGAGAACAATTGATGCATTGTTGTCATTATTGCTATTATGATCTTTCCTGCTCCACGAGGATGCATCTCAAGGGATCCTCCTTGTGCACACCAGGGACCAAAAAAAAAAGTCTCCCTTCTCTATTTGATACGTGGTGTGGCTGTGAAGGGAATTTGCCGACTTGAAAACGTAAACAACCTATTTCCACAGAGATGATTTTCCTTACACACACAAGAACAACTGTTTTTTTTTCTTTCTGAATGCACATGAATTCCTATCCTTCCGAGAGATCCTAACTGCTTTTTATCTCTGTAATCGGTTTTCCTTCCTAGGTGCCTGCTATTCTCTGAATAAACGTACTAAAATAAACACCTATCCTTCAGATCTCACGGTAGTCTAGCCGACTGTTTCTATCCAACTCACATCCCTGAGCTCATTGGCTGGAAATAAAAGCAAAAGAATTGGAGACCATGTTCTGTAACACACACACACACCCTCCTAAAGGCATGTGGTACAGTTATTTAGGTGGTGGGAGGAGAAGATCCAGAGTAGAGCCCCTTCACCCAATATCCTTAATGAGCACTATGAAATCTCCCATCCATAGGAAGCTTTAATCTTTGGAGTTATAAGACTTTTCAAGCATCCAGAACTCTTTCTAGTAATGCAAATCCATTTGGGAGTGTATTTGAAATTATTAGCTAAAACTTGGGTGAACTTATTGAGAGCTTGCTAGCAGCAAACTTTATGTAGGAAACACCAGAAAAGGATGTATGGGGCTGGAGGGACAAGTATCAGGAAAAGACAGAAGGATTTTGAGAAAGATGACAATGCTAGAGTTAAATTATATGAATCTAAACAAATAATGATTAAAATGACATAGCTGAGGCCCAGAGAAATTAAACAGCTCATGAAGAACAGACCAAAGTTGGCCAAGCATGGTGGCTCACACCTGTAATCCCAGCCCTTTAAGAGGCCGAGACAGGTGGATCACAAGGTCAGGAGATCGAGACCATCCTGGCTAACACGGTGAAAACCTGTCTCTACTAAAAATACAAAAAATTAGCTGGGCATGGTAGCGGGCGCCTGTAGTCCCAGCTACTCAGGAGGCTGAGGCAGGAGAATGGTGTGAACCCGGGAGACAGAGGTTGCAGTGAGCTGAGATGGCACCACTGCACTCCAGCCGGGGTGACAGAGCGAGACTACGTCTCAAAAAAAAAAAAAAAGAAAAAGAAAAAGAAAGAAAGAAGGAAAGAAAAAAAAGGAATACACTAAAGTTACCTTAATCCTAGGCCAGTGAGTGAATTTTAAATCTAAATGGCTGAAATAATTATGGAAATGGGTAAAACATTCCTCTAAGGGAAAAGATTCATCTGTTGGCAGCCCTCAGATTCAATATTCTCACAGTAGGAAACATTCTACACTGTCAGGCAGCATGCAAGACATGAGGAATAAAATCATGGGGCTCCAAGAGGGCATGGAAGCTCAGGCAAACCATGTCGATGCAGGATGCACCAATGCAGAGGACTCTCCATGGGTAAAGAAGGGGCTCTGAGCCCAACCTCAAGAGGGCTGGTGAGAGATTCCTAGAGGCATCCAACCTGGTTTTGAAGGATGTCACCAGAGGAGACAGCACAAGGAGGATGCTCCAAGCAGAGAGAGCAGCATGTGTAAGGGCACAGCAGTATGAAATTGCCTGGAGTCTGCCATGGATACACACACCTGCATGTGTTCTTACTGAAGTGCTGCACCCAGGAAAGCCATGGTGAAAAATGAGGTTGAAAATACGAGGGCAGTTAGGGCATCTTTGACAGCTTTTGATGCTGCTCTAAGTTTAGACTTTATTAAAGCAATACAGATTCATTTGGGAGTTAAAAAAGAAAGTGACATGGTCATATTTGTAATTCAGAAAAAAAAACTGTCTGACAGCAATCAAAGAGGTAGGTTTGAGAGATTTGCAGCAGGGAAAATACAAAAGGAAAAAATGCAGGAGATATTCAGGAGGTGAAATCATCCAAACTGAGAGAATGTTTGGATAAGGGGCTCGTAGCATAAGTGTGGTTAAGGAACATTCGCTGGTTTAGTAACTATTTTAACATTAGAAGAAGAAAAAGTGTATAATTTGGGGGTGCAATGGGATTAATATGTTTAGAGAACATCTGAATTTGTCTTAATTCAAATTGTACTGCTAAACCTAGAGGGAAAAAAGGAAATTACGAGGTAGAGAGATGGCCTTATTTTCCCAATTTGGCTAATTACCATTATTACCCAGCACTTTTAGTGCTTGAAAGCTTGACTATCCTAAACTTAATAAGGAAAGGGTATCTAAATGATGCCAAAAGTAATTGTCTTAGAATTTATGGAGGCGAGATGATGTTCTTCTTCACTCCACAGAGATCAAGAAATATGTGTTAAATAGGTGAAAGCTTAACATTAAAACTACACCAGCCGAGTTACTGGTTAAGATGACAGGTTAAACACATACATTAATTTTGTTTCCCCATGAAACCCACTAAATTCATTATAAACAATGTTTTTTTTTGTAGAAACAAACTCTTGCAAATGGGAAGAAAGAAAAGAAGACAACAGCAGCCAAATTTTAGAAGCCAAAAGCAAGTGGATAAGAAGTAACTTGATAGAGCCGAGAAAGTTAAATTACAAGTCAGTATCAAAGAAAATTGAAAACCAACACAAGTTACACCACAGAATCCTCAAATCCTCAAGGGGCCCCAGAAGGGGGCATCCCAGTCATGTTTGGAACCAGGAGAGGCAGATAAAGGGAAGGAAGAGGTCAAAGTAACAGATATTTGGGTGAAGCCATCTAAGAATCAGGTAGACCACTAGTTGCCATTCTCTTCAACTCCATGACTCTAAAAGATGTTTGCTGCACCATAAAATTGTTGATACGTATTCCCTTAAAAAAAAAAAGTAAAAAGCAAAACAGAAGGTTTCTAGGGACATCAAGCACAGTTGAGGGTGTGGGCACCATACTGAAAACAAAGGAAATAAGTAACTATGTAAAAATAATGCTGACTGTTTAATCTCCAAGACAGTTGCTCTGGCAGTCAGATTTCTGCTGTTACAGGAGGAAGAGTGGGAGGGTTTTCTGGGAAATCTGAGCAGCACAAGGAAAAATTACCAAAGACACTGGAGCATTCTCCTCTTGCGAATCTGAAAGTTGACAACATACCAGACAATGAGAGCTTCAAATAAACCTCTGAGTAGTTCATTCTTAATCATGAACAGGTACCTAGGTTTACTGGATATCAGAGTTAAAGGAAAGCCTCTAAGATAAAGAAGCCACTCTAAAATAGAATACAGAGACCCAAAGGACAAACAGAACAAAGAGGAACTAGGAGAAAATAGAGACCATGCCAAAAGAAGACCAAAAAAAGGAACATAAAGCTATGATTCATAGTCTCAGAGGGATAGGGTAATGCAGACATGAAACAAAAAGAGAATAACACATAAGAAAAATATTCCCATCATTTTGAATGAGTTCTTAGAAATTCAAATAATAAGCAGGAAATAAAATGAAAATATCAATTGAAGAGTTGTAAGATAAAGTTAAGAGAATATACTGTAAAGTAGAACAAAGTATGTAGAACATCCCATATCCAAATAACAGATGTTCTAGAAAGAGATATCACAGCAGTGAGAAAGGAGAAAATTACCACTGTAATATTTCAAAAGAAGTTCCTAGAAGTGAATGACAAGAGTTTTTAGATGTAAAGGACCTAGTGAGCTTCCAGCACAGTGAAATCACAATTCTATAAGCTTCAAATGAGGGGATAAGGAATTGAGGATTGGGATGGCATCAGGTTTCTCAACAATAACCCTGAAAGGAAACATTGAAAAATGCCTTTGAAATTTTGAAGGAAAATTATTTCTGATCTAAAAGTCTAAACCCGGGCAAACTAGCAATTAATATGATATTTCAATAAAGATATTTTCAAACATTCAAGATTCAAAAATTCACTTCCCTCTTATCATTTCTTTTTTTTTAATTTTTATTTTTAGTTCAGGAGTACATGGGCAGGATGTGCAGGTTTGTTGCACAGGTAAACGTGTGCCATAGTGGTTTGCTGCACCTATTAACCCATCACCTAGGTATTAAGCCCACCAGGCACTAGCTATTTTTCCTAATGCTCTCTCTCTGCCTACCCCACCACCCAACAGGCCCCAGTGTGTGTTGTTCCCCTCCCTGTGTCCATGTGTTCTCATTGTTCACTCCTTTTCCTTTCTTAAGAAGTGACTCAAATATGAGCTCTACGATAATAGTAATAATAATAATACTTAATAATAAGCCAACAAAGAACAAGACATAGGAAGCAGGTCATTCAACATAGGAGAAAGGATGTGAGAATCTATGGAGCACCATAAAATGTTATATCAGAAGGACAGAGTTCCCCCCATTCAAGGGCAACCCAGAGTTTGGACCAATGCACCCCAAGAGTCAGATGCACTGAAAGTTATACACGCTAAGATGCCCAATGCCATGATACATACACCTCATACCAACTTTTTACCAGAGAATAAAATTCCTTGGTAAGCATGATTCTCAATAGTAGCTGGTCTGACTTTGTCTTGTCAATGTGCTAATAAATATCCTGTCCACTCTGCCATGCTTCCTGAATCAGCTGAAGACACTCAATTTGCTTCACAGAAATGTTCAGCTTTGACCCACTCTGAGAGCTGTAGGTAGGGAACGATGAGTCCAGAAGCAGAGAATACCCCTGATCATATCCCTGCTGGATATCCAGTACATGGTACACACCTTAACCCCACCACGTGGTCTGAGTGGGGCCTCTGACATGCCTAGAGGAGACTCATCCATGTAAACTTTCCATGAAGTTGGGACCATGAGATTTCTCAGACTTCTATTTCTCTTCTCTTGGGAGGCATTGTGTAATAGTGGCAATATTGCTCTTTTCTTACACAGCTATTCAAATTTCAAAACTAATCCACATATTATTTGAAAACATTTACACTGTTGATAATATCATAAGTATAAGCAATGAAGTAATTAACCTAAAAACAGGATGGTGAGTACTTCTGGAGGGTGGGATAAAACAGAATGTAATCGAGGACAGACATACAGAAAGTTTCTAAGACACTGGCCATATTCTAATTCTTTACCTGGGTAGTGGGTAGGTAAGTGGGTAGATAGGTGATTACTATATAATTTATAGACTGTGCATACGTTTCATACACTCTGCTATCTATATATCAGTCTGGGTTCTCAAGAGAATATGTGTGTATATATACATATATATATGGTATACATATATATAGAGAGATATATATGGTGTGTATCTGTGTGTGTGTGTGTGTGTGTATATATATATATATATATATATATATATATATATATATATGGAGATTTATTATGGGAATTGGCTCGTGCAGTTATGGGAGGCCAAGGAGTCCCACAGTCTGCTCTCTGCAAGCTGGAGAACTAGGAAAGCTGGTGGTGTAACTCAGTCTGAGTCTGAAGGCCTGAGAATTGAGAGAAATGATGGCATATATTTTGATCCGAGTCTAAAAACCTGAGAACTGGGAGCACCCACGTCTACAGGCAGGAGAAGATGGATGTTTCAAACGGAAAGCAAATTCTCCCTTCCTCAGCCTCTTTGTTCTATTTCGCCCCTCAGTGGATTAGATGACGCCTACCCACAATGGGGAGGGCAATCTTCTTGATGCTGTCTACCCATTCATATGCTAGTCTCTTCCAGAAACATCCTCACAGACACCCAGAAATAGTGTTTCACAAGATATATGAGCATCCCTTAGTTCAGTCATGTTGACATAAAAGTAATCATTACAATAATACATATCAAAATCTGTACAAGTAACAATAAGCAAATAAGCATCATATACTTTTCATAGCTCTTTGCTTTCATACCCAACTGATCTTCCATGAAGATCTATTTGCTTCCGTTTTACATACACTCTTCTATCTATGTATCAATCGGGGTTCTCAAGAGAAACAGAACCAATAGGAGATATGTGTGTATAGGTATATATATATATGTATTCATTTTATCTGTAACATATAAATATATATATGAATACATATATATGTATTCATTTTATCTGTAACATATAAATATATATATATGGTATACATAGATATATATAGGGAGAGATATATACATATATATATAAAAGATTTATTTTGGGAATTGGCTCATGTCAATTCTTTCTCTCTCTCCTTCTCTTTCTTTCTTTCATAATAAATACTTCTCTATCATCATCATCATCAAGAAAGGATTCACACGTGACATAAGCAGTACTTTTTAGAAGTCTTCAGAGAAATTCTTGAAGACCGGAATATTTAGGAAAGACTTCTATGAGTGACTCAAGTCCTATTTGAAGGAAACTAGGTTTTGGTTGTCCTGTCCCAAGTATCACAGCTTATTTATGCCTCCCTTCCCCCACCACGATGACAAGTACAGTTCTTAGAATATAAGAGGTGCTCAGTAAATGGAATGGCTTAATACATGTTTGAGGAAGAGACATTCCAGTCTAGGGTGCAAACACAGTCTTATCTAAAGCTATGTTTGTCCTCATGTATCCCCCTGTGGACCATCTTTGTCTGTCACTTTCCAAAATTATTGATTGAAGAGAGTTCCTGTAATGAGATTTTAATTAAGTCATGTTTTTTTTTCTGTTAATTGACATGAGTAAATTATTCTGGATAATTTACTTATGCAAATTCACATAATGTAAAAATGTATAATATAGATTCCCTAGAAGTTCTCACTGGCCAGCAGTGGTTTTGTTTTGTCACCATATATCCAAACTTGATGTTCCAAAATAATATTTTTTATGTTTAATTAATTCTGCAAAACTTAAGAATTAATACTGTAATTATCTCCTTAGTATTTTTTTGACTATCTCATTGTAGACAGTACTTCCATAGATGCTTCTGCTGCAATCATTATATAAAAGTAATGAGCTCAGGTCAGCAGAGCAACTTGGAAGGAACCCTGGAGGGCATTTGAGTACTTGAGTTATTGGCTTGTGCTCTGAGGTTTTATTGTGGATGCTCGTGAAAAATGGAATTTGAGACCTATCGTTGACCTGAGAGCAACTAAATGTTTTTGAATGAGCCCCTTCCTCTGACTGTGGGCTATGTTTATTCCCAAACTCCTCAAGTCAGTTTTCAGCTTAACTCCCAACAGATATTTCGATAATAATCATGGAAGGCTACTTTCACTGCTGTTGCTGTCTCATTCAAGTGCTCTTCATTTTAGTTTTATTTTTGCTGTCCTGGTTGGCCTTAGCTAGAGATACTTTTTAATTATTTACCCAATAACTATTATAAAATGATAATCATTTGCCACAAGTTGTGCAAATTGTTACAGATAAAATGAAAAACAAGGCACAGAACATCCTTCCACACACACTGGAACTTATTTTATATCAATGAAACAATTCTATGTAATTATACTCCATCATAAATGCTTTGGAGCAAAGATATAAGGTGTTATGAGAACATATTAACTATAGAATCAAACTCCTGTGGCAGAAATGTCATAAAGTGTCATGAAGAGGAAGATTTTCTCTAAGAATGTAACATTTCCTACTGTGCAGCCATAAAAAAAGGAATGAGATCATGTTCTTTGCAGGGACATAGATGGAGCTGGAGGCCATCATCCTTAGCAAATTAAAGGAACAGAAAACCAAATACCACATGTTCTCACTTGTAAGTGGGAGCTAAATGATGAGAACACATGGACACATAGAGGAGAACAACACACAACAGGGCCTATCAGAGGACAGAGGGAGGGAGGAGGGAGAGGATCAGGAAAAACAACTAATGGACACTAGGCTTAATACCTGTGTGATGAAATAATCTGTACAACAAACCCCCCTGACACACATTTACCTATGGAACAAACCTGCACATCCTGCACATCTACCACTGAATTTAAAATAAAAATTTTTAAAAAGGAATGTAACACTTCCTATAAAATTGCAGGCTAGGGATGGGAGGAGGCAAGAAAGGAGCAGAGAATTTCTGAAAACAGAAGAATTAAAGAAGACCTTCAAAACTGGAGGTCCCATGGCAATTTCAAGGAACAATAAAAGAGCAACATGGCTGGAACCCAGTGACTGTGACAAGAGATGACAATGGAGAAGCAGACAGGAGTCAGCTCATACAGGCTGTGGGCCACATTAGAGCTATTTCTGTCAATATTAAGATCAACAAGATCCCCTTGGAGAGTTTTAATCAGAAAAGTGATGGTCAAATTTACCCTTTAAAAGACCACTCTCTAGAGGATGAAGAGCAGTTTTGAAGTGGGCAACATGAGTATGGGAAAAATAGTGGGTTGTCCAGCGTTCTTCAAGAAAAAAAGTGGTTGGCCTAAAGAAAATGTAGCAAAGGAGTCACTAACACAGATATGAGCAAAATTCAGGAGTCAAAAAGGAAGACTCAGCCATTGGCGCACCACATCATAGCTTGAAGGGACAAGGAGAGGGGCAGTTTACCAAAGCCTGGCAGGTAGGGGCAGTAGCAACCAGAAGAGCTGACAAAGCAAGAGATGGAGATAAATATTTTCCTATCTCCCCTTCCCAATGCTCATCTCTTGCCAGTTATTTCTCAGCCAGACCCACTTGGAGGGCATAAGTCAAGGTCAAGGCAGAATAGGGCAGAGGACAAAGAATACATCTGGGGAAAGGGGTCAAACAGAATGACAAGCCCAAGTGGTTAGTCAGTTCCTCCCATTGTCCATATGTAAAGAGGAACAGAAGTGAATGGTTTGGAGGCAAAATCAGTAGGCTTTGATGATGAATCAGGAAGAAGGAGCTGCAAGGATTTCTCCTCAGATTCTGCCTGGTGCAATGAGATTTATACTGATACTCTGAAAATATAAGAAAAAGGAAAGGGACAGTGTGGTGATGTTGAGATGTGAGTTCAGATGAGAACATGCTGAATTTGAAGTATATTCAAGACCATCTAGTATGAATGTTGAATAACATTTTGGTAATCTCAAATCTATATGAACCATCAAGCTACAGTGAGTTCCTCAGGTGTAGCCACTGGTCATAACCAACCATCCCACAAATCCAAGGCATCAGTTATAGGAGTCCCAGAAAAGCAAACATGAATGAATAGTGCAGTCCCTGCCTTGACCCTCATCCTAGAGTTTGGACTGAGCATCCAGCTAGAGTTAGGCTGTTTTATCTCCCATCTAGAACAATGGGTGGAGCAGCTAGACCCTGCAGTAACAGTGTTCACTCTCACAAAGTGATTGAAAGTCAATTTTCAAAGGCACTGTGCCTATGCATAGAGTCACAAGCACTTCTGGCTGACTGTGGGACATTAACACGAATCCTCTTCCATTGACTATGATAGTCCCTGGCTTGTATTTCCATAAGATACCAGTGGCACTCAGACTGATCCCTTAGGCAGTGTCTCCTCTGTAACCACAGCTTCTTGCAGTGCCCTGTGCTTGCAGTGTGTATGGGAGGTGGCTGTAAAGTCATCAGTGTTTTGGGATAAGGATGGGAGAGATGGTGCTGAAGGTGTTCCTCCTCTTTCCGTCTTCAAGTAAGTTCCTGATTTAATCCCACTTTGCATTGACACTCCACTCTCCATTTATGAAGGTTCTATCTCTTTATTGTGTGAGACAACAGTCATGTGTCTCAGAAAGACGTTTTGGACAAAATCAAACCATATATATGACGGTAGTCCCATAAGATTATAACACAATGTTTTGACTATTTCTTTTCTATGTTCAGATATGTTTATATACGTGCTTATCATTGTGCTACAATTGCCTACAGTATTCAGTACAGTAACATGCTGTACAGGTTTGTATCTTAGGAGCAATAGGCTGTACCATATAACCTAGGTGTGTAGTGGGCTATACCATCTAGGTTTGTGTATGTATACTCTGTGATGTTTGCATAATGACAAAATCGCCTAACAACACATTTCTCAGAACATATCTCTGTCATTAAACGGTGCATAACTATACTTTGTAATTGTTGATCCTCTAATCAGAATCCCCCGTGTATAAAAATTCTGCTCATATCTTCCCAACTCCTCCTACCTCAGAATCAAAAGTCCTTGTTTAACTATGTGCCATAAATGTTAATACTGTCAAACTAGATACAGTAACTTCTGGCTCACTGTTCAGATCATAATTAATACATCATGTTTCATGCCTAAGAAAACCAGGCCAATCACACTGGACAACAGTTACGACCACAGAACATTACGGAATAGTCCCATTTGGACTGGGATTCTGTAAAAAAGCTAAATTGGTAGAATGCGATGTGCTGCTCACTTGCTCTGATCCATAAGGACTCCCGGGTTTAAGGAATTCAATTTTTTATAGAGAGATAGAGGGAATTATTGAAACAATACCTGGTTGAAAAGAAGTGTATGCAGGATTTAGTGACCCCACATTTAACACAAAGCTAGTCACAAACAATCAATAAACTCTCGTCTAAAGATTGATCTCACAACCATAATTATATCTCATTCTATGTGATAAGAGTTATGATAGAGGTAACCACAGAGTCCAAAGGAAGCCCTGAGAAGGAACCTCAAAGTAAAATTAAGGAAAAGGGAGTGTAAATTATGGACTATGTCCCAGAGTAACTGTTTACACAGTGTACAAATGGTATGACATCAAAAGGAGAGGATTACAGGAAAAGTTAAGTTTGGAATGATAATTGCATAGGTGTAACTATTTGAAACTAAGACCTCCTCATCTCTGAGACATAAATACACATGTAATTAACTAAATATTTGTATCCCCCACCCTAATTTATATGTTGAAACCCTTACCAAAGTGATGGTACCAGGAGATGGGGGCTTTGGGGAGGTGATTAGGTAATGAGGGTAGAGACTTCATAAATGGGATTAGTGCTCTTATAAAAGAGACCCAAGAGGGCTCTCTCATTCCTTCCATCATGCGAGGACACAGTAAGAAGACAGACTTCTATGAACCAGGAAGCAGGTTCTCACCAGGCACTAAATCTGCCATATCTTGAGCTTGGACTTCCCAGTCTCCAGAACTGCAAGAAATAACTGTTTTTTTCTTTAAACCATCCAGTCTATAGTATTTTTTGTTATAACTGCCTCAGTGACCTAGGGCAACACATAAAGGTGTTTTCTATGGGATATTTTAGATTATTACCATACCTTTTCCAGATTGTTTTGTAATGTCTGATCCTCTTCTCAACTTTAGGAATAAATACAGATATTGTAAAATGAGAAACAAGATTATATAAAAGTACAAAGAAAATTTATGCTCTTGGCTATCACTGTGCAATTTATCCCCCAATCGTCAATAAAAACAGAACGGGAAACAAGCAAGGAGCCCATATTTTCTGATTGACCAATGTACACTATCTTTGTGTTGGTGATTGCACACAACAACATAACTAATGTTGAGGAATGCAACTTCAAGCCCATTAGGTCAGCTGTCCCCTTGGCTGGCACAGCAGCCAGTGCCCCAGAAATGATGAATAAGCATTGTTCACAATCAGATTACTATCATGGTTTGCCAAAGAGCATTTCTCTTTGGCAATAAAATATGACTTTGTTTTCAGTGTCTGATATGATTAAGTTAAACGTGTGAAGATTCCTAACCTTATCGATTTCCTTGTATTATGCTCATATTTCTCATGCTTTTCAGCACCTTGCTTGTGCCTAAATAGAGGGAGACATTTGAAAGAAGAGCTACTGTTTAGGAGTTGGAAAGAATACAGGCCAGCCAATGTGGAGTAATGCTTCATGGTAAAGGTAGGATGCTAAAGAGTTCTAGAAAGACTAATAAATTTGCCTTTTTCTCAGATTTGGCTATTTGCTAAATAAAGATACTTTCATGGAGATGTTCATAAAATCATACAACTGGAACAGCCCCAAGAAATGGTTTAGTCATCTTCCTTCATTTTACAGGTGAGAAACAAAAGGTTAAACATAGTAACATGACTTGTGCGAAAATCACAGTAAGTGATAAAATCAAAACTGGAATCAAATTTCTTGATCTGAAAACTAGGCCTCTTTCACTCGATCTCGAACAATACTTCTAAGCCTCAGTTTCCTCATCTGTAAAATGGAGATAATAGCATATATCTTATAGAGTGGTTGTTGAAATTGCATGATCATAATACATGGAGAATTGCTTAGCTCCATGCTTTTTATGTAGCATCCAATAATAGTAGATGTTATACTACACTTTTAACACATGTGTTCCTTCAATATTTTTATCAGGACCTAGCCTCTTATGAAGTCAGAAATTGAATATATGGTGTGACTCAAGTGTACTGAAGAGGGCCTCTTTACCAAATGTGTATTTTACATTAAGGTGCCTAAAATCCCTTCCCTAAAGGATATTTCTTTGGGTTAAACATTACCTTCTTTGCCAAATACATTTTTATAATGGGTACAGGCTTGTGTTAATGCACTAACATCTATTTATTTTGAGTTTAACCAATTCTTTATTTCTAATACAATATAAAGGAACATAGGATACAGTTTCTGGAGGCTTAGAAAGTGAGTTAAACCTCTAAGGAGAACTCAAAGGGTAGAGGGAAGGTATTGCTAATATACTGGCAAGCCTTCCACACACATTTTGGGTACATTGCCACTTCCCAGCACACTATGCTGAATTCTACGTTCCTCAGATCACAGCTGAGACAATGACCAATGATTGGAAGCCTACATTTAAAGAAAAACATTGGAAAAGTACAAAATCTCCAGAGGAAGAAGGAATGGGATTCAATGAAATTTAGATTCATGTAATAAAAGAACAAGTTCAAGAACTGGGCAAACTGAGAAACAAACAAACAGGAGGTAGGGGTAGGATGGACTTGATTCCTTCCCTCCTATATCAGAAGGATTATTTCATAAAGGCACCATGAATCCTCTTAGCATGCCTGGACAGTCATTCACCTCTTCCTCTAAAATCCCTATAGCTTTCCTCTGCTGAAATTTATTGCAACAAAACTTGAGTATGTCTTTTTCTTCTCACTAGATATTCAGCTCCTTGAGAGCTACGGCTATGCCTTCCTCACCTTTGTATTCCCACTTGTAAGACAGCACTTGATATATACATCTTTTTCTTAGTGAACAAGCAACCTGTTCTGCATAGCTTCAAAGGGCAGGACTAATATTTTGGGTGTGATTTTCAAAGATTATTTTAGCTCCCTATCAGGAAAACATTCTTAATGCTTAGGCTCAAACATCAGTTTTTATTAGCTGTTTCATGGACACAGAAGCATCAGTGGCTCTTCTGTCAGGGATATGGGATCCTGCGTTATCTGGGAGGTTGCTTTAATAACTACTAAGATTAGTTCAGGACTTTAATATTTTTACTTAGACTACTGAAATAGCCCTCACTGGCCTCCCTGACATTCTGTTTCCTCTCTAACCCATCCTCCACATTTCTTTAAGAGTTATTGCTAAAGCACAAATGTCATCTTCACCTGTATTTCTTGAAAACCCCCTGGATCTCATTGCCTACATCCACATTTGCTAAAGAATGTTTTTGTAGAATGTTATTCCCACTGAATAGTCAACAGACAATGGGTACAATTGTAAAGTAAGTTTGCAAAATGCCACACTTTAGTCCTCTCTTAGAGATTTGGGTGCTCCCTAGTACATGCTACAAAGAGCAATGTCAATGTCTTTCTAGTCTCATCTTAATCAGAGACAATTATTTCTTTTCATTTCGATATTACCAACACTGTCTATGTTTGTCACTTCCTGTTCTTGCCATTTGAGACATGCCATCTCTTGTGAGATGGATCATTAGGGTGAGTAGAGAGAAAAGGGGGATGGGATGAGCAGCAGGTGGAGGGGAGAGAGGGATAATTTCTGGAGGGCATAAAGCAACACTTCATAGCTAAAGAGGCTGACCCTCTGAGATTGTTGAGACTCCACATCTGGCAACATGTATAACTGCTCCATGCTGAAACAACTTCCACAAAGCTCACTGGCACATTTCCTCTCCTTAAAAAAAGTCTAGGCTTTTCCCCACTTCCTTTTCCCTCTACAGCGCCTCTTTTCTTTCCTTCTCTCAGTGAAATGCATTCAGACACTGAAAACTGACATTTATAAGCCATAATAAAGGATAACAAAGGACCAGTCAGTGACAGGGAAAGCTAACATCAACCAGAGCTATCAATGCTCTACAGGAGACACCATTGGGAAACTGCCAAGATTCGCTTTCACAGACTGATGCACCCAGACCCCTGCTGCTGTGGGTGCTGGTGCTAAAGCCCCCAGCTGTCTCTTTTTCAGGGAATTACCCAGCATGGAAGTCGAGCCATCTAGCTCTAAAGTTACACCCCTATTTATCCCTTCCCTATTGAACAGCCTGCAGTCAATGACTGATTGAAAGGAGGGAACAAAAGTCCAGCCCCTCACCTCAAAATGGGGCTAGCACTGTGGTTCAATTTATGCTCCAGAACTCTCTATGGGATCAGACTGAAGCTGGACTCAAGCTGAGACCACATCTTCATTTAACGTCTCCCCATCCTGTTTATCCACATCCTTCCTCTAAGGAGCACTCACTCAATAACCATGGTACCCAAATTCCTGTCTCAGGATCTGTTTCGAGAGAACCTAACCTAAGACACCCCCAATATGGTTTGGCTGCATGTGCCTACTCAAATCTCATCTTGAAATCCCATGTGTTGTAGGAGGAACTCAGCGGGAGGTAATTGAATCATGGTGGCAAGTTTTTTCCATGCTGTTCTCATGAGAGTGAATGGGTCTCAGGAGATCTGACAGTTTTACAAAGAGGAGTTTCCCTGCACAAGTTCTCTCTCTTTGCCTGCTGCCATCCATGTAAGACGTGACTTGCTCCTCCTTGCCTTCTGCCGTGATTGTGAGGCCTCCCCAGCCACGTGGAACTGTAAGTCTATTAAACCTCTCTTTATTTTGTAAATTGCCCAGTCTGTTATGTCTTTATCAGCAGCTTAAGAATGGATTAATACACCCCAAAAAGACCAATCAGAGGCATCATTTCTCCCCAAACTTAAAGTCTTAACTGCTTCCCCCAGTTGCTGATTATATAATTATTGAAAAATAAAATATAAAGATGCAGTAATACATTTGTAATATTTATATTTCTATTATCATAATTCCCAGAGTGTTTTTTTAGTCCTATCTCTAAGTATATATAGATTCAATACCAATTCAATGAGTTCTCTAACCCAGAGTTCTTTGATTTATCTTCTATGGTTAGGTTCTTTCATCAGCTGGTTTTTTTGTTTGTTTGTTTTTTGAAGGATCATGGGTGTTATAGCCTAGATTGCTTATTAGTATATAGCCTTTACATTGAAGAACAGCTTGACTGGGTATAAAAACCTTGGATAGGCCGGGCGCGGTGGCTCACGCCTGTAATCCCAGCACTTTGGGAGGCCGAGGCGGGCGGATCATGAGGTCAGGAGATCGAGACCATCCCGGCTAAAACGGTGAAACCCCGTCTCTACTAAAAATACAAAAAAAAAAATTAGCCGGGTGTAGTGGCGGGCGCCTGTAGTCCCAGCTACTTGGGAGGCTGAGGCAGGAGAATGGCGTGAACCCGGGAGGCGGAGCTTGCAGTGAGCCGAGATCCCGCCACTGCACTCCAGCCTGGGTGACAGAGCGAGACTCCGTCTCAAAAAAAAAAAAAATACAAAAAATTAGCCGGGCGCGGTGGCGGGCGCCTGTAGTCCCAGCTACTCGGGAGGCTGAGGCAGGAGAATGGCGTGAACCCGGGAAGCGGAGCTTGCAGTGAGCCGAGATTGCGCCACTGCACTCCAGCCTGGGCGACAGAGCGAGACTCCATCTCAAAAAAAAAAAAAAAAAAAAACCTTGGATAATAGTATCTATAATTATACAATTTTTCCTCTGTGTTCTGGCATTCAATTCTGCCATGAAGAATTTTAGACTAGCTTGATTTTTCTGCTTGGATGGCCACAGACTTTCTATTCATCAGGAGATGTTTCACATAAAATTTTCCTAAAACACAATAGACCTTTTTTTAACATTAAGATTCTGGTTTTAGTTGATTTCAGGAGATGTTATTTTAACAAATATTTTAAATTTTCCTGTGTTATATTTTTCTCTTTTTAGACTATAATTTATATCATAATTTGTATCTTCTATGTCTGACTTCCATATCTATAATATTGTATCTAATCGCTTTCTAATTTTTTTGTTTCATTTCTTTTTCTGTGATTATTTCAAGCCTTCTATGCTCATGGATGCTATTTTCTATGTTGTCTTTCTTAATCCTTTAGGTTCTTAATGCGGTGACAGTTTTTGATGACTTTATTTTTACATTTATTTCTTAAAATCGGCCTGCCTGATTATCCTTTCAACACTTTGTGTGTGTGTGTGTGTGTGTGTGTGTGTGTGTGTGTCTGTGCATGTGAGAGAGACAGATTAGATTTGATATCTTTTATTAAGTTGTTATCTTTTATTAATTTTATGTCTTTTGCAACTAGCTTACACTCATTTTACTTAAAAGTATGAAGGCTATATTTTTTATTTATTTTCTTCTTCATTTTTTTCTGATGTCAGATTTGCCATTTTGTTTCCCATGTCCCTTTACTCTATGGGTCTTGTTTTAGGTCTTCTGCTCACGGTGCTTCTTGGAATAAGGAAAGTTCTCTCTAGACCAGAGTTCTGCCCAAGAATCGGGGACAGAATGAGCAAGTATGATCTGGAGAAGCTATCAGTTTCCACTTTGGTATATTATCTCGGAAAGCTGTTGAAGCAAATCAGCCACATTTTTTCTATTTGAGTATTTGGTTCTGCTAAGCTTTCAGCATCCCCTTTGGATCATCTTGGTTCACAGCAAGCCCATATCTCACACATCCTCTGTTTCATGATTGGCAGTTGTTGTTTCTCTCTTCAAATGACTGTGATAAGCAGACTCACAGGATCCATAAAACCTTTCAAGACAGAGAGAAGATTAGACTAGCTTTAGGCATGCTGTCATGGAGAAGATGGTGGTTCTTCCCTTCTTTTTCTTCATATTGATGGACACTTTCATAAAGAGAAGCAAGGTAAAAATGTCCTTATGCAATCATCTTTTACTAGAATTCTATACATTGTTCATGCTTCATTGTGGCCCTCTTTTGCCTTTCCATTTATTTGCTGTTACCTAATGAAGAGATATATATGCTACTTTATCTGCTGTCAATTTGTAATGAATTTTACAGACAAAAGTGGTGGCATTCTTGCAGTCGGTGTTTTGCCTTTAAGCAATATCCTTTATGAAGCAGTCTCTAGGAATGCATTATGTCCAAATTGAGGGTCATCTGTATTTTACTTTATTCATTTACTCACTCCTCATTCATTCACCAGATATCTATTGAGTGCCTCTGATGTGTGTTGGCCTAAATAGAAATGGAGAAAAACACACTTACCATTACTCCATAAATCCCCTTGAGATAAAGAAAAAAGTTTCAAGGAACTTGATGATAGTTTTAGAGGCTAATTTTATTTGCTCTGCATTTCTGTCATCCATAAATATTATTAGGGGATGATTATCTGCTTTGTTCCTGACCAGGGAAATTGAATTTCATGAGCTACTGATGAGATTGATTTTTCTAAGGAAAGAAGATTGGTCAGTTGTTTCAGTAGAATTTTCTTTTTTCTTGGTTGTTGTGTTTGAAAGCAGAAATATACGTGCTACTGGGAAGATTTAAAGGTGTGAGTATCTTTATAACAACCCCATCGCAATACATGAAGAGGAATGTGAAATAACCTCATGTAAATCCCACAGGTGAATGAGTAAGGGTATATTTTGTAGACTTCTAAAACAACTCATTCAACTGCCTGAGTTCTTTGGAGAAAATATGCCATCTAAAGCCAATAAATTTGTAAATAAGTAACAGGGCAATGCAGCTATGTGGATGGAAAACATTAAAAGTGGATGATGCTCCATGCTATGAATCTGAGAAGAACATTTGCTGTTGTTTGAGGAAAGATGGAACTGGATTTAGAACTGGGCTAATAATGTGTCCTATTTTCCTATAGAATGCAAACAATTTTGTTTAGGGACTCTGACTTGGGGACTCAGCTGCAGAAACTGTCAACTGAAAATTAATTGAGATGCTTGGCCTTCTTTAGGTTACCAGGGTGTGCAGGACTGGAAATGTCTTTGTCACATGTAGAATATCATTGGGTATCTCAGACCTCGGAACCCAATTGCCTTTTTAGATCAATGTATGCAAAGTGAATGGCACTGGCCAAAGGATAGCTCAGGGTCAGTTTGCTCCCAAATAACCAACACTGATAAAATAAATAAAAGCTAGTAAAGTGAGGTCTCGTAAACAGTTCTTCTGTAGTGACAGATGGGGTGAGGCCTGGATTAAGTCGCTAAGATGAGGAAAACAGTGAGAAGTTCAGTGGCTGGCAAAGTTTCTCTATTTTGATCAAGGAACCTCCTAAAGGTAGCTAAACTGTCTGTCAGCCTCAGTACCTGACAAATGTCAACCTGCCACATGTATAGAAATGAAGAGATTTTTCCTTTTCGCTAAGGAAACAATTCCTATCAATGAATGATATTATAATCATAGAAAATTCAGATCAGGAAATGACTTTAAGACTCATCAGAGACAGTAGGCCTTCGATCTCTTTCACAGGCAAACCTTTTCTTCAAACAGTGTCTTAAGTTAAAGCCTAACAGATAAAAACTAATAAAACTGGAGTCGCTCAGGGCTCAGATGGGAGCTGCTGACCTTACTACCCAGCCTCTGAGTAATAAACTGAATGGATACAGCTCCATGAAACACAGTTTGAAAAGCTGAGCTGACTGGCAAAGGGTCACACAATTAGATAGTGGCAGAGCTAAAACCAGTAGTTGGATAACCCGCTATGATGACCATAATATTTACCAATATTTTTCAAACTGTAATGTGCACACGAATCACCTGGAACTCTTGCTAAAATGCAGGTGATGACTCCATGGATCTGCGAGGGCCTGGGATCTGCATCTCTAGCAATCTCCCAGGTGATGCCAATGCTGCCGGGGAGGACAGCTGGAGAAACAAGAGGCTTTCTAGGACACCACATGCAGGAGGTGAGCAAGCATCCTGGAACGAATTTTAGTCTAAATTATTAAGTCAGCTGCCTGAAAAATTGCTAATTCAGACCTTCTGTCTTCACAGTCTTAATCACTACCTGAAAATAGAAGGGAAAACATAAGCAGAGCAAAGGACAGAATCTGTCAGTCCAACATGGCCCAAAAGTTAATCCTTAGAGAATTAACAAAAAAACAATGAATAGGCCCTGCACGGTGGCTCATGCCTGTAATCCTAGCACGTTGGGAGGCCGAGGCAGGTGGACTACCTGAGGCCGGGAGTTTGAGACCAGCCTGGCCAACATGGCAAAACACCATCTCTACTAAAAACACAAAAATTAGCCAGGCGTGGTGGTGGGTACCTATAATCCCAACTATTCAGGATGTTGAGGCAGGAGAATCACCTGAACCTGGGAGGCAGAGGTTGCAGTAAACTGAAATTGGCCACTGCATTCCAGCCTGGGTGATAGAGCAGGACTCTATCTAAAAAAAAAAAAAAAAAAAAAAAAAAAATGAATAGCTCATACTAGTCCTGATTGTTTTTGAAATCCTAAAACCAAATTTGAAAAATCTTGAATTTTTTTAAACAATATGTTGAGGAAGACTCTACAAATGAAATGACTGAATCGGTGCAGAAGACGAAGACGAAAGGCCAATGACTGCCTATAGAAACATTGCCCAATATATGAAGCTAAACCTCAGAGGTCCTCCACATTCCTTTTGTGGCTTGATTCATCTTGGCACTCACCATTTCTGAGCCTCCGCTCTGCAGCTGGGTGTTCACCTCACTGACTTGGATAGTACCAGCTTTCCCGTTAAACTTTAGCTATTCTGTGCCCTTGCCATCAGATTCTTCATGTATCTGAGGCAGCTGATCAAATAATTTGCAGATTAAAAATAGCTTAATGTGTTTTCATTTCAAGATGGTATTTGGATTCACATAATGGCCTTAGAAACCATAATGTAAACTGGTAATAAAAATATGAGTAAAATGTCTTACACACTTCCTTAAAGTCCTGATTATCTTACCATGAAGACAGACAATTTTTTTTTTTTTTTTTGAGACGGAGTCTCACTGTATATCACCCAGGCTGGAGTGCAGTGGCGTGATCTCAGCTCACTGCAGCCTCCGTCTCCCAGGTTCAAGCAATTCTCCTGTCTCAGCCTCCCGAGTAGCTGGGACTACAGGCATGTGACACTACACCTGGCTAATTTTATATTTTTAGCAGAGATGGGGTTTCACCATGTTGGCCAGGCTGGTCTCGAACTCCTGACATCAGGTGATCCTCCCGCCTCGGCCTCCCAAAGTGTTGGGATTACAGGCATGAGCCACTGTGCCCAGCCATACCCTGATTTCTTAATAGAAATACCACTGGAACTTGTCCGTGAAATGATTAGATCTCTTAAAGAAAGGTCAGCTTCTTCAAACCCTAAAGATTCAGTTATTACCTGTGATATCAATCTGCAATGGAAACTAAAGTGAAATGCCATGTAATGAAGATCTCACTAAATCAATGCCAAGGATACAGAATACCCTAAAGTTAGTTAGAAAAAAAAAATGCATTTAGAGAAACTGATGGAAAACTAATTGTATTAACTGTTATCCACCAAAGTTGCTATAACCTCAACATAAGAAAAGTTGTTTTTTCCCCATTAGCAGTATCTGTGGCTTTTAAGAATTCCTACAACAAATATTACCTAAAAGCTGAGCATCTTTGAGTATTAAACACCAGTAGTTCGGTTCATAAAACAAAAGTAGAAGTTTAAAAAAAGCCCAACAGTGTATTGTCAGAAAACAGCTCCAGTCCATTTATATTTTTTAATGAAATACTCTCTTTTGAGTTTAATGTGGTAAACCAGTTTAAACTATTTAGAAGCCTGCATTTGGTATGCTTTCTTGTAATTTGGTAAAGTAAAAGCAAACCATTTGAATAATAAAAGAGAGGCATTTTCTCCTCAATACTACATTAAGTAAAAGCAAATCACTGATATAATAGTCTAATACAAGGCATTTCTCCTAGTAGACATATTTTCCCCCTTTTCCTTAAAATGTACTTTTGATGGCTGTCCAAAGGCTAAAGACTAAGAGCTGAGAACAAAATCATCATCTTTCTTCATCTTTTCCAGGGTTGGGAGAGCTGCAGAAGTAGCTAAAACAGAAAACAGCAGAGTCTCATCACAGCAGGGCTGGAGCAAGAGCTGGCTGGAAGAATGGACTTTGCAGGGGGATGGAAAAAAGCCTTAATGAATCTTACTCTCTGACTGAAATTTGGAGATTAAATTCAAACCTTTCAACCTCATCACAATTATCTCCCGAATTTGCCCATAACAGCCTGGTATAGAGCAATGTCTTCCTCCCATTCCCACCATCTTTAACTAGAATGCAACAGTTCTAGGGACTCTCTTTCTAGAACAGTTGTTCTAAGTGTTGTTGCTGAGCCAGTAACATCTGCAGCACCTGGGAAGATGCTAAAAATGCAAATTCTTGGGCTCCCTCAGATCCACTGAATCAGAGACTTAGGAGGGTGGGGCCCAGCAGGCTGTGTTTTAACAAACCCTCTGCATGATTCTAATGCATGCTGTAGAATCACCAGTTACATATTTATTTGAACAGAGACTTTTGGCAGATAGAGACTTCACCATGGAGCTAAGTAACTCTCAGCATGCGGAGAATTAATGTTTTAACCTTAGCACCAGCGCTAAGGAGATCCATAATGAAGTGAAACATCTTGGGGACTGACCCAGGGAGTAGAATAATTCTAGAAAAAAAAAAAGGTTGATATGAGATGTAGATGTTATACAGAATTGTGGATCAAAATTAAATGATAAAAAATCAACAGAAAAAGAAGAAGGAAAAGGGAGAGGAAGAAGAAGAGGAGAGCCATTTTTAATACCCTAGAAATTTCACTTATAATGAAATTGGGTTGGCAACTACCTCTGGCTCCAAGTGGTAACTAAATACATTTCTAAAACTTTTTTTTGGATACACAATATTTTTATTTTGACTATTTAGGTTGGGTGTTGTACTATTTTCTATCTATCTGAGGAGCGAGGCACCTTTATTTGAGACCTACGTGAGCATTTTATTTTTAGGAAAATCAGTTTCAGACTGCACTGTACCAAAAGCTCTATTTGTAAGTCATATCTTCAGTAAGCTTCATGTCTTTCTAAAGTGCTATGGTCCTCTTGCCTGGACTTATTAGAGCATCACAGCTGGGCCAGATGTCTGTTGCCAACGAGCTGCAGAGAGATTCTAGGGTATATTAGACGTCTGGACTTCGGTACCTTTAAAGTTTGTTTCCAACATTAAAATTCTCTCATCACAAATTAGGCTCTGAAAAGACACAAGAGTCATTATTCTCAATGTTTATGCCCATGATAAAATGGTACGGTTGTAGAATATTGGGAAGTAAACCTGATCGTGAGATGAAATTGGAAATTGTCTTGGTGATAAATGCTCACTCCAGGCATGTTTCTTTTCTCTTTCCTCTTTCTCTTTAAGGAACATACAGAAAAAGAAGATCTGTTATTTGAAGAGGCTTGTACCTAGATTTCAGTTAAGCAAATAGCTACAAACTGTACTGAAGCATGCTGTATAATACTGCTTATGCACAACTTGCTTTTCCTTACTAACATCAACAAGTGAATGCTCTGAGTATGGTTTAGGAGTGAAGCCATGATATCTATTGGCAATAGGAGTAATGGGTAACTCCTGTTGCTGTTACAGGAAATTAGGGCAGATACTCTGATGGAACCCTCACCTGCTTTATTCCTGCCTCCAACGTGGAAAAAAAAAGGAACAAAAAAAAAAACCAGAAAAAAAAGATCTTTCCCAGTTATCACAGGTGGTACACAAATCTAATTCTGCACATGGATCCTGGAAAGGCCTTTCCCACTCTTCTCTTTGCCATTGCTGCCTCAGTGGTTTTCACATCCCCAAGTTCTCAGTGGTGGCAAAGTTTGAGGCAAAATCTTTGGTATTGAAACAGCCTGGAGCTTAAGTTAAATCCTGAGGGCATGTGGAATGTCAATGCCTTAAGCTTCTCTGGTCTCAAAATAACTTAAATTCCTGGGAAGAACCCAGGAAAACAGAGAACTAAAAGTGAACTGTGAATTTTTGTAGATGCTAAAATTCAGTTCTAATCATAGGGTGGTTTTGAAGGTGTTTCTAGGAGGTAAGATTGTAGAGTGCCAAAGCATTGCCCTGAGGGTTAAGGACACCAAGGTCTAGTCATGGATTTGCTTCTAATCACTTAAGCTCTCTGAAATCAGTTTCCTTCTCTATAAAATTAGTGTCATAAGAGTGTGTACATCACAGGGTTGGTGGGGAGATTAGGTACTTCATGCATCTAGTCCAGGTTCATCACTCAATATGTGTTAGCTACAAGTGCTTTTTATCAGCTAGCCACGAGCAAATTATTTCATCAGATTAGACCACAGATTCTTTTCACATTATGATGGAGGTAGAATGTGTTCCACTGAATTTGAGGTTTTCTAGAAAACTCCTCAGACTTAACCTTGGAGAAAGAGAAGGACAGCGAAGGGGAGGAAAGATGCCTTGGATAACACAAACCCTGCTTTCGATTCAAACCCTAGTAGCCAGGTTTCCCGTATTTTATGCACTTAGAGTCAATTTTACTTAACTGAAATATAAATGGGGGGAATAATTATGCTGATTTCTTAAAAGTTTCAAAAACACTGCGCCAGATATTCTCAAGATCTTTTTGAGCTCTGAAGTCATTTCATTTTCAATGAGTATATTAATTCACCTGTCCTTATGCAAGAGGTTCTCAATATAAAAATACGTTTACCTAACTAAAAGGGGAAATTCATGCCTTCTCTTCCCCAAATACAGACACGAGAAAAGGTCTTAGCTAGTCATCTAATCTAATCCTTTCTATAGCAATTCCAAAGCTTTTATTTTGTCTGTTTCTTCTTTCTTTCTTTCTTTCTTTCTTTTTCCTCCCTTCCTTCCTTTCTTCTGTTTTTCTAAAGCCTCAGATATTCAGATATATTTGGTCTCGTAAAGCTCTAGTTTCTTTTTTTTTTTTTTTTTTTTTTGAGGTAGAGTTTCACTCTTGTTGCCCAGGCTGGAGTGCAGTGGTGCAATCTTGGCTCACTGCCACCTCTGCCTTCCGGTTTCAAGCAATTCTCCTGCCTCAGCCTCCTGAGTAGCTGGGATTACAGGTGCCCACCACCACACTTGGCTAATTTTTGTATTTTTAGTAGAGACAGGGTTTCACCATGTTGGTCAGGCTGGTCTCGAACTCCTGACCTCATGATCCACCTGCCTCGGCCTCCCAAAGTGCTGGGATTACAGGCGTTAGCCACCGTGCCCAGCTGTAAAGGTCCAGTTTCTTATTCCCAAGTTGAGAGAACATATATAAAAGGACAAGGTGAAGTGAGAATGAAGACAGAATTAAGAAAAGTAATGAAGATTGTTTCATGTGATAATGGGAAATAATAATCCCACTGTGAAAAAAAGAGCCTTGTAAATTATGGAGCAACTTTCCCTCTTCTCAACTTCCTCCTCTTCTTTTTCTCCTCCCTTCCCTCCCCCTTCCTCCTTTTCTTCTCCTTCACTTTAAAAGGTATTCCAAGCAGTAAAATGCAACTCCTTGAACAGTCAAATGTTCAGTCAATGATCTGCATTTTACATAATTTATATTTCTAATCTTTCCTCTACAGCAGTGTTTGAGGCTGGTCAGAGGTGCAGGCATTCCTCAACAGGAACGTGACAACAAGCAGTCCCTGATCCTTGATGAGGACAACATCTACACAGGCCTGCTACTGGCACCTGGGAAGTTTACACATCTTTACAAAACTCAAAATCCAGTTCTAAATATGCTCATGCTTTGGTGATGACGAATTAGTACTCCCTTCATACATGAACGAGAAAACTCTGGGTAACTCATGATATGTAAAGGTAAAACAATGTGTTTGTTTGCATCCGTAGCATTGTGCCAGGAGAGGGAAAGATTTCCTTTCATCTGTGCCTGCGGTATTTAGCACTTTCCTGTATAGTATCACAATCCTTATAACAACTTGCCCAGTTTTACAGATGAGAAAATCGAGACCTCCAAGTTGTGCATCTCATCAGGTTTGTCTGAACCACACTAGGCTCTCTAAGGGGTGCACCAAAGCAGAAAATGCAGTTTCTATATCACCAAGTTTGTGAGACAAATGAACGTCCATGAAATCAATAAGTCCTAAAGTATGTGTAGAGATGAGCAGGAAGGGATGGTTAGTTTAGTAACAATGAGAAGTCCACATGTGAAAGGTGAAGGAAATTGGTTGGGTCTTGCAGACTGGAAAAGACCCTTAAAATAACAAGGCTGACACCGTGGTCCCCTGGTTATATAACTAACATCAGGGTTCACTAATTCAGAAGAAGATCATCTGAGTTATGTTTCATGAAAAGGCTGAAGCTGTACGAAAGTCAAGAGCAGCCTTACTATGCTATTTTCTTATTTCTACACTTTTTCCCAAATAAAAATAACTCTTCATTGCTATGTTCAAAGACAACAATTTCATCAGAGTAATTATGAGTCTCATCTCCACAGGCATCTGCAGATCTTTAAAGATTATTGTTTTGATAGTTGCCTTTAAAGGTAGATGCTGGAATATAACATTTTCTAGCAAGAGACAACATTTATGGAAAACTCATCATCTGGAAACAATACAGGACAAGAAGCAATTTGAAGCTCACAGACAATGTATGCCTGGAGGAAGTGTTCTGTTCTGGGGTGATGCCATCATGCCTGGGCTGCTCGTGTTAGTTCAGGATCACTTTGTGGATCAAACTTGCAGGAGAAGTTTGAGCTATTGTAAGGTTTGGGAGCCAACGTGTGTTAAGAGCTGATGGAGACATATCCTGTGTGTCTTCACTTTCTACTGATCATTAGACAGCATCTTTACAAATAATCGAGTTTGATTTGACTGGGAGTGGTTCAGAAGCTCAGTTGAGATCTTGGAAAATGTGTAACTCTAAGGTGGTTTTTGGGCTTCCCTGATATCAGCTACATATTTTTCCATATATTTGTTCTGTTTTGTTTTTATCTGCTGTACTTTCAGAGGATGGTGTTCAAAAATAGCCACTGATTTCTTTCCAACCGTTTTTAAATTGCTCATTTTAGTGCAAGAATAAATGGGCAAATGTCAAAAGCCTACTCTGACAGTTCTGTCTGTATTTAGCACAACACTGGAGGACCCAATTATGAAACTTTTTACCTGCTCCATAAGCTTGTCTTTCTCAGGGCCTGAATTCCTGCTAATACTTTCTTGGAGTCACATTGATTTTATAAAGTCTCTCTGCACAAAAGAATATTCAAGGCTAAATATAAAAAGCTATCAACTAATATATTTTGTATGCAGAGTGTAAAGTAGTATGCTTTAGAACTATATCCATATATATTTATACCTATTTATCTATACCTATATACCTATGTTGATATCTATACATACTTATTTATCTTTGGTATAAGATTGAATTGTTAGTCCCCACTCTTATCCTCTCTGTCTTCTACAGAAGAGACCATTCACTAGGCCTTAGGATCCGGGGATACCCATCATCCCTGAATGCGTCTGTAATACCTTTTGCGTCTAATGCTTTAAACCACATACTTAAGCTCTTTGGTATCTGTAACTAAGAAGGTGTTTTAACCAATTTAAATTAATAACTACAAATAAGTCTGTGATATTTACATCTAGATTTGTGTTTGAGTGTACAATTGTCACTTCACTGTAGGCCAGGAAATGACGTGCATCACTGTGAACCTCTTCGATTGTCCAGACCAGAAGAAATCCTCCTAAAGGCAAACAGTTGAAAAACCAATGAATGTCTCAAAGAACAGTATGAAGTGGTGATAGGAAACCTGACATTTATTGAGCACCTGCTCTATATCAGCAGGCTTAGTATTTTACTTGCATTAACCCATTTAGGATTTTTGTTTGTTTTTTGTTTTTTTGTTTTGTTTTTTTGAGACAGAGTCTTGCTCTGTCACCCAGGCTGGAGTGCAATGGCGCAGTCTTGCTCACTGCAACCTCTGCCTCCCGGGTTCAAGCAATTCTCCTGCCTCAGCCTCCTGAGTAGCTGGGATTACTGGCACACACAACCATGCCCAGCTAATTTTTGTATTTTTAGTAGAGACAGGTTTTCGCCATGTTGGTCAGGCTGGGCTCAAACTCCTTACCTCGTGATCCACCCACCTTGGCCTCCCAAAGTGCTGGGATTACAGGCATGAGCCACCACTCCTGGACAGCCCATTTAGTTGATACAACTAGCCTGTGAGGTGTAACAATCCTCAGTTTCTGATGAGAAGGCCCAAGTTGAGAAAAGAAAAGGAAGTGGTGAAAGGCCAGATAGTGCAAAGTCTCTATTCACATCCAAATTGCATGACTAAAACTTATGCTGCACTCATTCTACAAATGCTTCTGAAGCCCACCAGGCAGGGGAATCACTGTAACTTCTGAGTTCTCTCTTATAACTCCTGGAGTCTTTTCATATTCCTTATCACCTCCTAGCCAGCTTTCTCCTTTTCTGTGTTTTGCTTTAGAAAGCATTTCTTTCATTTTCACTCTGTCCATGAAGTCTTTCCCACCACGATTCACTCATAAGAAGAAACAGAAATAGTTTACATTTTTTTAAAGTCATGTGTTTCCTCCACAAAATGAATGTAAAAACAAACCAACAGGCAAACATTTAAGAGGGAAATGTCTCTATTTCTCTCAACTTTACTTACATGAAATATAGTCCTTATAGGACCATACTGGCTTATAATCTTTCTGCATTTCCAAATTGGCATCTGATAGCATTCACAAATGACTTCCTTCAAATATCCAACACTATCAAATCTTCCCTTATTAACAGCAAATAATCTAGATTCACAGAGAAAGTGGAGTCCATAGACAGGAGCCCTCTCAATGCCTATTACTCCACTCACTTTCTTAGATATATAAAGAGAGATCACCAAGCTGGGGGAGCTGTATGGAGCCCTACGCTGTCTCCTTCATGTCACACCCAGGGTCCAGCATGGGACTGCTATTTCCATCAGAGACCTTGGGGAAAAGCAGTTCAGAATTTAGTCTCCAGGCCTGCTACCCTCCAAACATGTAACCTTATACAAATTATTTAATTTCTCGACTAACTGAACTCATTTCTTAGTTCAGTTCCTTCAAAGAAAAATCCTTCCTTACAGGGTTGTTTTGGTGATCCGATGTAAGAAAGGATTAATAGAATTATTATTAAAGTAGGTAGGTAGTTAGGATTCAACAAATCTTCATAACAATTATGATTTGTCTCAGTCAGGGATTATTTGGTTATTTTATTTGTCAGAAACAAAAGCCTGCTGAACCTAGTTCAAACCAAAGAGAGAGTTCCCTGGAACACTTTCAGAGCATCTGGCAAAACCACAGAGTTTAAAGGATTTTGTGGCATCTTACAGTACTGAAAGAGGGTGAAATAAATATAGCTCACTTCTCTGTCTTGAAATCTAGTCTCTTATTTCTGGATTTCATTGCTTATCTGCAGTTTCACTCTCTCTCTCTTTCTCTCTCTCTCTCTCTCTTTCTCACTCTCGCTGTCTCTTTCCTCACACTGGAGATGTCGGTTGTCTTGGTATTCGACTCAAATTGCCCATCCTAGCTAAGTCTATCTTACCTCTAGTTTAAGCATACATAATTAATTTTAAAAGACCCTGTTTCTGAATTTCACGTTCTCAGGGTAGAAAATCCATTTGGTCCAGTTTGAGGCAGGTGTCTACCACAGCTCAATGAACCAGTGATGAGATGGGGACAAGCTAACCTGACTCTTTGGGGACAGTGGGGGCTGTGAAAGCAGCCTCTCTGAGAGGAGGAAACAGGCTAGATAAATGAAAGTCGGCTTTATTACTCTCATTATCATCACTAGAGGCAAGGAGAAGACACAACTTAGATGCTCTGATGTGCTATACTTCCCATTGTAACCCAGTGTCCTTTTTCTGGGCACACTAAGCCCTGTAAGGAGAGTAAGTTCACACGAAAGCTTGCAATCAAGTGTTTATAGCAACAGTATTCCTAAAGCCAAAAATTAAAACAACCCAAATGTCTATCAGCTAGTGAATAGACAAACTGTGATATATTCATACCATGAAACATTACTAGCAATAAAAATAAACAAAATATTATTACACTTAACATGAGTCAATCACAAAAAGTATGCTAAGTGAAAGAAATCGAATGTAAAAAACTATATAATTTACGTTTCCATGTATATGGAATTCTAGAAATGACCAAACTATAGTGATCAAAAACAGATGAGTGGTTACCTGAGGTTGAGAATGGAAGTGAGGAGTTGATTGCAAAAGGACATGAGGAAATGTTTTAGGGTGATGGCACTATTTTATAGCTTCAGTGTAAGGACGTTTACTTGACTGCATACAATGACCAAAATCCATCAAATTGTACATCAAAATAAATACATGTTATTGTATGTAAATTATGCCTCAGAAAGAAACAAAGAAGAGAGAAAGAAAAGGAGGAGAGAGAGATGGAAAAAAGAAGAAAGGAAAGAAAGAGGAAAGGAAGGAAGGATGGAAGCAAAGAAGGAAAAAAGGAAGAAAAGAGGCTGTCATTTCCAAATTCTACTTGCCATTTTTTCAGGTGAGTCAGCATATATCAATTACTATGCTTATGGATACATGATTACCACTAATAAAAACATTTTATTGAGCAATTACCATGTGGTAGAAAGTATAATTCCTTTATATGCATTATTGAATTTAATTCTTATAGCAACCCTGCAGAGTAGGGGTTATTATTCCCACTTTAGATATCAAGAAGTAGTTGTTCAGAGAAGCTAAGTTTCTTGCTAAAATTGCCACGTTAATCAGTGGTACAGCTGAGATTCCAAATCAGGTCTGCCTGATTACCAGGTCTCTGTCCCCAACCACCAACCTTCAAGAATTATTCCAGTATCAATCCCGGATAGAACCTCAAGTCATAATCATCATATGGTTTTTTTTAAAAAAAGAAAAAATCAGGAAAATCACAGTGATACTGGACTTTTAAGCCAATATATGAATCATGTTGTTTCTGGTGCTCAGTAAGCTGATTTTAAGGTAGTTGAATAGTGTCTCCTATTATGTGAACTATAACCACGTACGTATCACAAATGGTGTAATCTTCTTGTTTGTGTGATGTTTGTATAACATGGAATGTTAAAAAATTGTTTCAGAACAATGCAAATGAAAACTGAAGGCTGGCCATAGTGATTCACACGTGTAATGCCAGCACTTTAGGAGGCTGAGGCATGTGGATGGCTTGAGCCCAGGAATTTGAGGCCAGCCGGGACAACACGGTAAAACTCTGTCTCTACAAAAACTACAAAAATTACCTGGGGTGTTGTAGTGCATGCCTGTAGTCTCAGCTATTCGAGAGGCTGAGGCGGGATTATCACTTGAGCCCAGGAGGTGGAGGCTGCAGTGAGCCAAGATCACACCACTGTACTCCAGCCTGGGCAACAGAGTGAGACCCTGTCTCAAAAAAAAAAAAAAAGAAAAAAAAAGAAAAAAAAGAAAACTGAATAATTCAGACCCACTGGAGCCCAACTCAGAAACCATTGCAGGATGCTAGTCAACTCTCAGCTAAGCTGAGGGCTACTTTGTAGATCAGTCACATGAAATGTATACTTTTTAGTATGTCACCGTGCTTGAAGGCACTTGGTCTATATAGTCAGAGTGAATTACAAAAATCAATACAATTGTTTGTATCATAGGAGGGGAGGAGAGCTGTCTTTGTGAAGCATGATACTTCCCTGATGCCTTCACAGGCTAGCTGGCTCCTTTGGTGCTGGCAGGGTCAGACTCCACTTGCTTGGCCCAGTTGTGTTCCACCTTTTGTGGGAGGGGGAGAGCAGGTGAGTGGACACGGGAGCCAGGATGAGTGTTTTTGGGTGCCGGCAGGAGCAAAACTTTGTGCAGACCCCACAGCAGCATCTAGGGGGGTGCCTGCAACACCTGAAGCCCTAGAAGGAGTGTTACAGTGCCCTTTCAACTTTGCCATCTGTGGATGGCTGGATGGCTTAAGTGTTAAAAGCTCAGTGGAAGGTCAGTGTGACAGCCTTTTGTACCCGCACTCATGGCACCTAAATTCTTGTCTGGCATCCAGGAGGAATAAGGTCACAGGAACAAATTGGAGATGGTAAGTGCAGGGGATTTTATTACCGATGAAAGTGGCTCTCAGCAGGAAGGGGAGCTGGAAAGGGGATGGAGGAGGAACGGCCGGATTCCTCTCCAAAGCTATGCCATCAAGCTGTCCCTCTGAAGTCAAGTCACTTCTCTCTGACATCTAACCATAGTCTTCCACATCCAGCTGCTTCTCCTCTCTGCTGGCTGAGTTCTGGGGTTTTTATGGGCACAGGATTGGGAGTGGGACAGGCCATGGGTGGTTTTGGAAAAGGCAACATTTGAGTGGGAAAACAGGTATGTATGTTCTCACTTTGGGCTGTGGTTTCAGGCTTGAGGTTGGGGCCCTTGCCGGGGACCTGCCTTCTTCTGCCCAGAATTCCCCTGCCTCCTATCTCTATTATTTGTATTATCTATCAATCACAAAGTATTTAATGAGTTCTTACCAGGAGCCAGGACTGCTTTGGAAAGAAAGTAGAATGAGGCATAGAAATCATTTCAAGATATCTTGCTATGTAATTGCTCAGAAAAAACTAACATGCATGAACTCGTCACAATGAAATGATAAACTGTACGGTTTTGAAAACAGCTACCATATAAGTTCATAGATAGAGGAAAGCAGAATGAGCTGGAGAGTCCGAGAAGACTGAAGGGAAGGGCAGCAGAGTGGCAGAGAGAACAGGGTGTGGGGCAGGCAGCTGGCTTTGTGTCCCAGCGGAGTGACTTCACAACTGTGTCCCTTAGTGAGTTTATTCCTTTGTGCCTTGATGCCATTATTTGTAAAATGGAGATGTAGAACTACCTTATACAGTTTGAAGGAGTTCAGGACATGCCACCTCAAAATATGCTATTTGGGCATATTGATTATTTTGAGTTGGAGATACTTGAGGAACAGCAGATGCAGGAAGGGGTCTCTGACCTCCCCTTTGCTACCTAAAAATGGGCCATTAAAAAAAAAAACACATAAATTTCATTTGAGAAAGGTGCTCTCCCTGTACCAAGAAAAGAGGAACACTCTAATCACCAGAGACTGGGAATCAATGCTGAAATGAATCTGTTCAAACAAGCTTGCTAAAATAACCTTTATCTTCTACTAGTTTTCCCCAATATATCTGTTAGTTACTTCCCTACAATTTATTGCTCCTAGCCCAAATCCCTTTGTCTTATCATTTCTTTAAAAATTTATCCTTTCTTTGTCTAAAAGGTATATAAGCTATCTGTTTTGGTCACTTCTTTGGGTCTATATTTTTTTATTTTGTTTTGTAAGGACTTCCACATATATGTAAAATTTTAGCAAATTGTGTATGATATTCTCCTGTTGATCTGTGTTACCTCAGTTTCCTTCTTTTTTTTTTTTTTTTTTTTTTTTTGAGACAGAGTCTCACTCTGTTGCCCAGGCTGGAGTGCAGTGGCGCGATGTTGGCTCACTGCAACCTCTGCCTCCCCGGTTCAAGCGATTCTCCTGAGTCAGCCTCCCGAGTAGCTGGGACTATAGGCACCCGCCACCATGCCCGGCTAATTTTTATATTTTTAGTAGAAATGGGGTTTTGCCATATTGGCCAGTCTGGTCTCGAACTTCTGACCTTGTGATCTGCCTGCCTCAGCCTCCCAAAGCACTGGGATTACAGGCATGAGCCACCACGCCCAGCCACCTCAGTTTAATTTAATTCTTAGGTACTGCCAGAGACCCTTAGAGGGTAGAGGAAGAATCTTCCCCAATAGGGTGATATCAACATTTAACAACATATACATGACATGTGTTGAGAATAGTGGCTGGCCTATTGTGGAGTCTCAATGAATGCAAGCTACTTTGTTATTATACAGGTAGAAATTAAGGTGAAACTTAAAGCTCAGTAAGGTATAAAAAGGAGGAAGAAGAGGGTGGGGTGGGTACTCTTGGGAAAAGCAATAGCATAAGGCAGGCATAGAGACAACGATAGAGGGTGAGGAGAAGGGCTTAGTTGCAGGCTGGAGTACTTTTCATGATAAGGAGGGGCAGGAAGTTAACATGAGATCAAGTGGAGCAAAACTGAGGATGACCTTCAAATCCAGAAAGAGAAAAGTGGATTATACACAAGAGCAATAGAAAACTGGCACTTCAAGAAGCAATTGCTCAAAAACAAACAAAAGTAATGTTTAATGAACATTTGTCTCATAGTAACATATAAGATGAGTTGGAAATAAGAAGTGGCAAATAGAAGACTAAATAGAAGGCTATTGAAGAATCCTGTGTATGTCAACAAAATTCTAAAATTCAGGACTGAAATAAGAATGTTGAAAATTTACCCATCAAAAATCACCCCACACCAGTCCTAAGTTATAGAAAGACTACAGCTACTTACTGTGACAGTAGGGAGGTAGTAGTGCCTGATTCTGTAACAAATGACTAGAAAGTAGAATATTCACTTTACTACACTTGGTTAAAACATATCTATTCCAAAAATCAAGGTAAGCTCTTTACTACTTGTGATTCTTTCCCCCACATAGGCATTCTAAAATATACAAGGGATCCTCTACAGTGCTCCAAAGCTATGTGAAAATAGAAACTGATGAATAATTATAAAAACCAAAAAGCCTTTCTAGTGTCTTATTTTTTATGGGACAAAAGTCAGACAAAATCCAGCATCAAAAGTAAGTAATAGGAGAGCCCAGTCAATCTCAGCAAGCTTTACAAACACCTGCAGCATTTTGAGATTGTCCCAACCAGAGTTCATGTTTCTATGTGACAGTTTCACTTGTCTTAATCCTGCATCCAACCCCCTTCCCTTCTTGTCCCACAAACAGTGTAATGAAACAACATATTGTTTGGGACCGTGAGATAATTTCTCCCCTTTCAGGATAACCTCTTTTCTCAAATTTGGGACATTTACCCTGGAATCAATGTATATTCTATTGACTGACTTTCACTTCAGTATGCTAAAACCCAAAAAATGCATCTCCAACGTGTCATTGATATATCAGTATCAAGGCATTTGAATCTCTCAACCTTTTAAAAGAAATGACATAAATTATAATCAGTCAAAACTCCCAAACTATATACCCTGGTTATAAAGTATATCCATTTCATGATTAGATATTGAAGACCAAATCAAGCCACTTTTCCAGTCATTTTTAAGGTGAACATCTCCCTATATCAAAGAAAACCACTGTCCCACTTAGTATTTCTGATCCCAAAGCAAATATCACAGATGTACTAGCTGTGCACATCCCTCCTTTTATAAAGTTGGGTAAGTCGAGTAGCACTTAGAGCATCTGTGCATGAAGCCCCATGCTATTGGTGATTTTCCAGAGCCATTGCAAAGGGTGCAGCAGCCAAAAGCATCTTGAACAGAAGAGCAGTCCAAGTTAAATCCATTTTTCAACTCTTATCCATCTATCTCTATAGCCCTCCATGGGCCCTTTATACTTCACACATATGCACACGCACACTTGCACAGACACACACGCACTTTTATGTCATCTTCTGTCTGTCTCAAGCTGTGGCAAGGGCCTTGGCATGTCCTATTCCACAGTACTCCGAAATCCTCTCTTTTAAGTAGAATTCACACTTAGTCTGATCTCAATTTGCATAGAAATCATACATTTAAAGTTTTCAAAAATTCATGTGAAAGTATGAGTCACTTGATCGTGGGTTTAACCCTCCCAAGGATGTCTGAATTCTAATACAAGTCTCTACTAACCTAGTGAGTAGGTTAGTACTTACTAGGTACTACCACATGGTAGAATGTGTGGGGAAGATATTTCGATTGGAGTATGCTTGTGTGCACCCACATGAGAAAAAGAGGGTCACTCCTTTGGCATTTCAATTCTGAAAGGAAACAGCTCAAAACATAGGTTACTTAACTCATTCATTAATTTTGTATAGAACAATGACAAGTGACTTATTACTTATCCATGACTGTTTTGGAATCTCTTAAGCTTTGCCATATTCTAAAATGTAGTATGATTTTTTAAATTTTAAATACAAGAAATATATGTCTACGTACTGGTACCTGTATTTATAAAGGGGATATGTTCATGAACTAGTCTTGTCTATATTAAAATTTTGTAAGTAGCAATCCAGTTTAAATGTTTGAAAAATGCTTGTAATGGAACTATGTTGAGTACAGAATAAAAACTTTCTCTCTCACGTGGATTTACCAAAAAGTTTCATAAAATATCAGTCTTTTGGCTGGGTGCAGTGGCTCACGCCTGTTATCCCAGCACTTTGGGAGGCCAAGGCAGGCAGATCATAAGGTCAGGAGTTCAAGACCAGCCTGGCCAATATGATAAACCCCGTCTCTACTAAAAAAATAAAATAAATAAAATAAATACAAAAATTAGCTGAGCGTGGTGGTGCGTGCCTGTAATCCCAGCTACTCGGGAGGCTAAAGCAGGAGAACCACTTGAACCCAGGAGGCAGAGGTTGCAGTGAGCCAAGATTGCACCACTACACTCCAGCCTAGGGGATGGATTGAGACTCTGTCTCAAAAAAAAAAAAAAAAAAAAGGAATATCAATCTTCGTTTTTTCTCATATAAATCGTATCCTCACTTTAATGGTGTTTGACCAGATGGAAAGACACTTTCTTCATCAATTATTTCCCACTATGCTTTAGGACTGAATACGTACTTCTGAGTAATATTTTATCATATGACACCCGAGATACAGCTTCATGAGCATGAGAGTTGCAAAATGAAATTGAACCGCTCTAGCACCAAAACCATAAGCAGGATGACAGATATTGATTGTGCCCCAAGATGTAATGTAGACACCTAATGGGGCGTAGTAATGTACAATGAATCATTAGAATATTATTTTAAATTTTCTATTCACCTGGGGGATTGCTAACGGGGTATTTCACCTTCAAGTTACTCCTCCGCCTCTCTAGACTAGGAGATCGCTTGATAAAGGTCATTTAGAACATGGCAGATTTTTTAGCAGCTTTGGAAAATTATGGATTGCTTTTTAGGTCCCAGGGAGCAGATGTCTATATTATGAGGACAACAAAATTTTTTAATTTTTTAAAAATATATTCTTGTTCATCAAAACACAAAGGCTGGGACATTTTGCAAGAATTAGACTAATAATCACATGATAAACAACTAGTATTCATTGCACACTCACCATTGCTACTTGGACAGGTGTTTCACATATATTTCTCTAATGTCCACAATAACCCTCTGAAGTAATATTATTATTTTTGCTTTAAGGAGGTGCCAGCTGAGACAAATGGAGGTAAAGATAGTAGCCTGAGATGTTCACACAGTAAATGGTACAGCCAAGGTGAATACCCAGATTTTTCTATATCTGGGAACCATGCACTTTTTAACTACTATATAATCCTTCCTAAAGAAAAGCTATGAGACCTGGGGTCATTCATTAGTAAATTAAGTGACTGCTCATCTTTGTAACTATAGTTTCCACCCTAAAGCAGGTTGCCTAGGCCATCCTCTCAGTCATAGGTATGAAGTGCATGGAAAGTGTTCCCAGTGCCTTTTCTGTGGCCCTCGGCTCTGAGGCATTCATCATTGCCCTCCGCTGCCCTTAGCTGTTGACAGTCTCCCATGGAGAACCCCACGCACCAGACGGACTCCTGCCTTGATCTTCCTTCCAGCCAAATGACCTGTGTTGGGCTCCTTTCTCTCAGGATATTCCAAAGACAACAGTGTTTCAGATTCAATGATTTTGTTTCCTAGTACATCAAAACTATTTTCCTTTCAGTCTTGCCTTCACCTTGTATTCTTTCTGGCTTTTTTGTTTTGTTTTGTTTTGTTTTTCCTGGATCCTGGAGGCCAATCAATATCTTACTTTGCTCTTAAGGCCCCTGTCATCTGAAGAAAGCAGTGTAGCATGATAGACAGGTCTTGGTTTTTACTGCCGTTAGGCTGACTGGGTCCAAATCTGGTTTCTGGAACTATTTAGAAGAGAACTGGGGCTAATCTGATCTAACACTTTGGTATAATGCTTCCAAATTAGCATTGTATCAAGGCTTTCCAATACTTAACCCTAATATAATTAAGTAAAGTTGTGAAAATTGTCAGAGACATAGATATTTTGATACCACAAAGCTCTTGTCATCTTATTTCATCATGTGGGTAAATGTGTATTACATGTAGACCTAATTCCGCAAATTCTCTTCTGGGATTTGTTCAATAGGGTAACTGCAAACCTCAGGCCATGATCAGAGCTCCTCATGAATTCTTTAATTTAGTCAATGGAATCAATCCATGTTAAATGGCTACTGTGTGGCAGGCTTCTGTTAGTTTCTAGAAATTCAGCAGTGGCTAAGGCATATTCTCTGCTTTCAGGATCTCTCTGCATTGTGCAGAAACAGCATAAAATGTGCCACGATAGAAATGAGAAAATACCTCTGAAACACAGAAGAGGGAACCCTAATATTCTCAACAGCTGGCAGAAAGGAGAGGGGCCAGTGAGTTCTCCCCAGAGGAGGTGACAACAGATGAATCCTAAGTTCTGAGTGAAAGTTAGCTCCTCAGAAGCTATGCGATTGTATGATCACCCATAGAAGTTCAAACTGGCAATAGAAAATTTTCACAGGGGTGGAGAATTGGTTCATGTTGGGCCTCATTTAAGGAAATTTATTTTAAATAAGCATCACAAGAACCAATCTACAGGATGAAGCTTTCATTCCATAAAGGTGGAAGCTGTCAGATCTATTCTCACTACTTTTTCAGAAGTCCTTCTTGCTACCCTGTTTTAATCTACTTATAGTTTCTACCTACCTTCCTGAACTGATGGATACCTGGGATTACTACCAGACACTAAGAAAATTGTGGGTCCTATCATCTTAGCCTATGGCTCTCCTTCACAGCCCAGTCCCTGCTCTTAACCCAGAAAAAAAAAAAAGCCTTTGCAAAAGCATCTTGTGCTAACATTTTATTGGGAGATGGCGCAGTCCCAAAACAGCAGAAGTGAAGGAAAAGGAGTGTAAGGGGAAACAAATATAATGGAGTGTACTATAGAGTTGTCCAGCTTAGCGAAGCTGTTTGCCTAGCCTTGCAGGACATCTTCAAAGAGGCCAACTGACGTTATTATAAATGTGAAGAGTTCATCCAGGGAGAGGAAGGGAGAAAAATGCATCTACACATTCTAACAGCCCTTGCTCAAAGTTCACTCCAAAGGGTGTTAACTCCCTGCCCTTTCTGGATTACACATGCATGAGGAGTGAGCATGTGCCCTGGTGTCTCATATCTAAGCAGTCATTGAAAACCCCCAAGGTGGGAGGCAAGAAGTGAAAAGCATGAGAATGAAGTTGGCCACTGTTGTATCATACCCATGAATAGCATGAGAGATCAGGGATAGCTGCCACCATGGACGCGTCAGTTTGTGGCAGCAAAAATTTGACTTCAGGACTATGGGATTTGTCTTTCTGTTCCTGGCTTATCTCATTCAGCATGTTGTCCTCCAGATCTATAAATGTTGTGCTAGATAATAGATTTTCTTATTCTTTAAAGCGGAATAGTATTCCATTGCATATGTATAACACATTTTCTTTATCCATTCATCCATTGATGGACACTTAAGGTTGGTTCCATGTCTTGACTATTGTGAATAGCTACATGGACATGGGAATGCAGATGCTGTGTCTTCAGTGTCTCCTCTGAAACTTATGTTGAAATTTAACTGTAATCTTAACAATGTTGAGAGGTAGGACCTTTAGGTGATGATTGGGTCACTAGGGCTCTACCCTCCTGAATGGACTAATGTCATTATCATGGGATTAGTTATCACAGAAATAGGCTCCTAATAAAATAATTAGTTTGGCCCAATTTCCTCCCTGTCTCACATGCTCAGTTGCTTTCCACCAAAGGACAATGCAACAAGAACAACCTCCCCAGGCCAACCCGATATGGGCATCATACCTTGGACTTCCCAGCCTGCAGAACTGTGAGCCAAATACATCTCTTTTCTCTATAAATTACGTAGTTTGTGGTATTCTGTTGTAGCAGCAGAAAACAGACTAAGACAGAAGATATTCCTTTGACATACTGATTTGAGTTTGTTTGAGATCTCAGTTATATGTGGAATCTTAAAACATTAAACTTACAGAAGTAGAGAATAGAATGATGGTTACCAAAGCCTGGCAGGGGAGGGGGAGGGAGGAAGTAGGGAGCTGTTGTTCAAAGGGTACCAAGTTTCAAATAGGACAGGCAGAAGAATAAGTTTTGAGATCTATTGCCCATTAGGGTGACTATAGTCAGCAATGTGTTGCACATTTCAAAATGAGAGTAAATTTCAAATGTCCTACCATAAAAAATGATAGGTAGTTGGAGTGATGGATATGTTAATTAGCTTGATTTAATAATTTCATATTGTATACATATATCACAGTATCATATTGTACCCCTTAAATGTGTACAATTATGACTGGTCAATCAAAATAATATTAACAATTTTTGAAAGACTATGAGAAAAGCCAAAGTACTTGGTAGAACAATCCAGAAGGCAAGGCTAGAGTGAAGACCGGAAGTACAGAAACTGAATACAATACACCTTCCGTAGACGAGTGAGCATCTCCCTAGAATCAAAGTCGCTCTGGATGTTCATACCTGCCCTCCCCCTTGTTCTGTGCCTCCCACTTTGTTGGGTGCCTGTACTTTTGGCTTCTTGGCTTTGCCTTATTTTCCATTGAAGGGGATGAGAGTTCAAACATGTCCTTTGTTGTTAAACAGACCTTGGCCAGAATCCTATCCGCTACTTACTGACTGACTGAAATTACTTAAATCCTCTGAGTCTGATTGTTTTCATTTTCGATATGGAAATTATCCCACTTCTCTAACAAGGCTGTTGGGATTATTAAATGAGAATTATTAACTGAGATGCTATCTCTGAATAACTTAATAAAATTATAGACCCATAATGGGAACAAGAGTGATGTTAGTTTTTGGTTTTTTTTCCTGAATCATACTCATCATTCTAGTTTATGGTTCACCACTGACCCTATTCTTAGATGCATCTATAAAATAGATGCATCTATATATATGCATATATATATAGATGCATATGTATGTGTATATGTATATGTATGTGTATGTATATGTATATGTACATGTGTATGTATATGTACATGTGTATGTATATGTACATGTATACACGTATACATGTACATGTATACACGTATACATGTACATGTATACACGTATACATGTACATGTATACACACGTACATGCATACACATGTATACGCACGTACATGCATACACACGTATATGTACACATGCATACACATGTATACACGTACACATGTATACACGTGTACACCTACATGTATACACGTGTATACCTACATGTATACACGTGTGCATGTATACGTACATGTACACATGTACATGTACATGTATATGTATATGTGTATGTATATATGTATGTGTATGCATATATATGTATATATACACACATATATACATATTATATATATATATGTCTGTGTATGGTGAGAGGGTCTCCAAGGTCCTTCTATCAGCATGCTTTGATAACAGTAACGCTTAGTTAAAATTCTTGTGCTGTAATTAACCTATTAGAGGCTGGAGGAGAAACAAAGGACTTGTTTCTTCCAGTTTTGCTCACATTCCTGCAGGTGTCACCTCAACAATGGCCTTTCATCCTGGCAATAGCAGTTGGTTCCATTTCCTGCGTCTCATTGAGTGTTCCCAAACCAGCCTCATTGTGACCCCTCATAGATAGTTGAAGTGGTGGCAAAGTACCCTGCTATGGTCTAAATATTTGTGTCTCTCCAAAATCCAGAGTTTAAGTTTCATATGTTCAAAACCCTCCAAGGTGAAGATATCAGGAGGTGGGGCCTTTGGGAGGTGATTAGATCATGAGGATGGAGCCCTTATGAATGGGATTAGTGCCCTCATAAAAGAGGCCCGAGAGAGACTTCTTGCACTTCTACCTTATGAGGACACAAGAAAACAGTCATCTACAAACCAGGAGTCAGATCTTCACCAGACACTGAATCTGCTGACACCTGTATCTTGGACTTCTCAGCCTTCAGAACTGTAAGAAATAATTTCCTTATTTACAAGATACCCAGTCTAAGGTATTTTGTTGCAGCATCCCCAAAATAGTATAAGCAACACTCTCATTAGAGGTGTAGGCCCCAATTCTGTAGTGTCCCTTCTCTGAGCTTCTGATATAGTGCTACCAGCTAAACAGAGCCCCTCCATCCAAAGGTCTGGACTTCAGTTTCACAGGCACCTTTTCCAGGTTTCTTCATCCTAAGAACCCCAAACATCTTCTCTCCCTGCCCCACTCCCACCCCACCACCACTTTAGAAGTGGTAGCTGCTTCCTTCATAACTAGCTCTGTAAAATCTCAAATCTAGTCCTTCAGTACTTGTTTGGCCAATTTCCTCTAATAACTTTCCTCTGTTAAAATATCTGATATGGTTTATATTTTCCTGACTGGACACTGACTAATACAAATGATATCAGGATCAGTCTTGTCCAATATAAAGGAAGAAGAAATTGCCAAAGGGCAATAGCAAGGTTGTGAAAAGAGAGAAGGTAAAAATTTCTGTGTGTGTGTAATGTCTATCTATATATTCAGTTAGCATTTGCTTCTCAGACAATAGAGAAACCACCAGAAGGATGTCTCTATCTACCTCATCCAGCAAACTTTAGTCTATCTAGACACTCAAGAAGCTTCTTTGCATTTATCCTCCAGCTGCTAATTAATCAAAAGTTCTCTAGATATCAGTTTATGGCCTTATCTTTAAATGGCCTATCACTGTTGACATCCAATGGCAACACCTGAGACCAAGTAGATTCTTTTGGCATACTTACAGAGGATAAAACCTCCCTTTGCAATGTCTTATAAAAGAACATTCTTTATCTTAGTTATCAACTTGTGATATGTTCAAATTCATTATTTTGTCATAGCTTCAGTTTTCAGATTTTTTTAAGATGATAGGCAATAAATACAGAAAGAAATACAATAATGGAGAAAGACTCCATGTTTTAAAGTGCTTTCAAACAATTTCCCAGAGCTAAAGCAGTATTTACAGATCTTACTTAACATGTGATCACTTATAGTATAAAAAACTTTAGTCAACTGGGATGGGAAATGCAAAGGTAGATAAGATGAGTTAAATGTGGTTGAACTTTTAAAGGCACTCTTAAAGAGTTCTGAATTAATGGACTTTGAAGCAAAATGAAAACTCAGCATCTGCTCAAATACTAGCACTGCACAGGCTCAGGTGACATGGCTGTGGATGAGGACATCTTTTAAGCAATAAAATTTTATAACAAAGACATACATGTAATAGCCCATGAAAACGTTCACATTTTTTTTACTATTTCTATAATCCTTAGCAAATAAAACTGTAACTTTTTCAGTGAGATTACTATACTTGTTCCTCTCCCAAATTACCTAGTTACCATTTACTTAGACAGATTTTTTTAAAGACCTCCAAATTTCACAAAAGCGCTGATAGAAAACTTCTCCACACAAAACATAGCATTTCACTACAAAATGAACTCTCTCCAGGGACCCCAATACCACCTGTAATTTAGATGAAAAGGCCCAAAGAGAAGGCTTTTCTTTCATGGCTTAAACCCTGGCCCATTCTATCACTAATACCAAACCTTTTGGAGTATGTTGAAACTACTATTTTCTAAAAATATTCATTATCTTTTGCCTTACTCTTGCAGAAAACCCTGGCCAAATGACCTCAGTAATGTATACTCAATCAGAATGTGCCTATCAGACCCAGCTACTCCAAAGCCATGGTATGTCACTCCCTTTTGAAAACCTCCAGTATTGTCCCATTGTCTCTTTACAGAGATAGGCACAATGTAGGTATGACCGGATTTCCTAATCCTTGTAGCAGGAACCTCTGTACTAGAAATAAATGCTCTCCATTATTCATCCTGGTTTCTTTCTCCCCTAGAAAGTGACACGATTATCTTCCATGCACAACTGTCAAACTCATGCTTGCTTCTTCCTTTTCACATGCTGCTTCCCTGGCCTGAAATATCTCTCCAAACCTTTCTCTCTTTAATATCCAGCTCAAGTGAGTTTCATCTCCTCAGTGAAGCTTAATAGCAATTTTGCACACTCCCTATGTAAAAGGCTCTGCTCTAAGCAGCTTTATAGATATTAACTTGTTTAATCTTTCCACAAATACTATGAGGAAGATAATATTATTATTCCCATTTTATAAATGAGGAAAATGAGGCAGAAGAAGTTGAGTAACTTGCCCAAGATCACACTGCAGAGAGCCAGGATCTGAACTCAGGCAGTCTGCCTCCAGAAATCAGCTTTTAACTACTGTTTTTATTGACAATTTGCTGGGTTTTTTTTTTTTTTTTTTTTGCCTTATTGCTGTCTTTATTTACCTGCCACTGTCTCTAAATTCTTGCAGCATACTTTCACTAAAATAGAAAATTAAGCACTTAATAATATGAAATACCAGGCAATGTTCTTGAGCTCACAGAAACATAAATGAAAATATTTGTTTATGTAATGCCTACAGATGAGGAAACTAGGGTGCAGGAAAAGTCTGTTATTTGCTAAAAATTCAGTAGAGGCCAGGTATCCTGACTCCCAGTTCAGTGCTCTGTCTCCCACATCGATTTTACCATCGTTCATGGCCTGTAGTTGCTTGCAGTGTTTACCTTTCTTTTCTCTTGCAGAACAATCTTCCATTTGACCTGTAAACCTCTCAGCGATTATTACACAGTGATGTTCTATTCTTTATTCAAACTAAACACCCAGTCATTATATTTTTATTATAATTCATTTCCCATGTTCAGTTTTTTTATGGTAATGAATCCTCCAGTCTTCCAAGTCGAAATTATTGAGTGTCTCTGCTACTTCATTGCATCCCATGCCCCATTTTGATAAACCTCACCACGTCCTACATGAGATTTCTGAACTTGTTGGTTGAGAGATTCGAGCAAGTACCCTTATCTTTCTGGGTTTCTATGTCCTCTTACCGGTTCCTACCAGCATTAAAGTAAGTCCCTCTCTTACATGCTGTGTGACGCCACCTGCTGCACAAGCCATTCTTCTGGATTTTTCTTCTTGAAAGAAATTTTTCTTCTTGGAACCACTATACCTGCTTTGCTTTAATTATACTCCAGCAGTCCTCACTTCCCGCTCTCTGGCCCTTTCTCTCTCTGCCCACCATCCCTGTCCTGGCTTCCAGAGCAAAAGGTAACTTGCTCCACTTACCTTATAGGAATAGTGGAGCCGGGATTGAAACTGGGCAATTTGTGCCCAGAGTTCATCTGCTCACCACCACACTTTGCTGCCACTGTGCATTCCTGTATTTGAATGTATAGGAATGCACACTGAGTGTATCTCTATATTTTATGCTAATTCCTTATTAAACACATATTTTCCACCTGTCTACTTGGCACTACAAACTGTTTTCAGTTCTAATTTCCTGGAGCACAGGAGCTTTCTACTATTTCTCATAGTACCTGTGTGCTTGTCTTAGTGTCCACTAGAACCTAAGGGCTGGAAAGCCAGGATCATGTATATGCTGCTCATACCTGTGTCCCCAGTGCTTAGCATGGCATCTGGACAGCTTATAGATGCCCAACAAACATTTGTTAAATGAAAATAGCATATTTCTTAAGAGATGACACTATTTCTCTATCTCAAATGACAATTTTACTAGCTGTACCCTAATACAGAGCCACACCCAAGGGCACTCAATGTTGCTGCTGCTGCTGCTGACTGAGCCAAGAACACTATCCAATTTGATATAATGAATTGCGTATGGAAAGCAAACTGCTTTTAACTTCTATTTAAGACAACTTTTTAGTTTTATATTAAATAAAAATATATTGAAATGCAAAATAGTTGCTCCCAGAAGTTTCCAGAAAATGTAAGCACGTGCATATACATTTTATTTACTTTTTCCCTTGAAATCTTATAGGACATTTTCAAAGTTAAATAATGCCCATTGCATAATTCTTATTTTTTAGTTTGTCCTTACTTTTATTTATTTTTTAGTTGCACATATGTGTGTTCCTACCGTTGCTGTTACTATTATTCAATCAAAAGAAAATTAAGATAGTTTGGTTAGTTGATCATTGATAACCTAACCTTAATGGCTCATTTAACAGTCTTCACTAGGGGCTTTTAACATCTCATGAAATGTCTTAAAATAAAAAAATTAGCTTTGGGAATAAAATTATACAATATGTCACTTTGTCAGAATAAAGAGTTTCTGATGTGATAGCTTCTACTAAAAAAGAGTCGCTCGGTGAATAATATATTAATTAGATATTTTAAAATAATATTTAGAGTATGAATGCACAAGTCAATTCAGCTGTAACAAACACTTTCAACTGATGCCCTTAACCAGAGAAACAGAAATGAAATATATATAACCCTATACAAGACATCTGGTCACAGAATGAGCAAAAGGATGTTAATCCTTCCTAATTCTTGAGTAAAAGCTTATATTCATTCATTAGTCCATTTTTTGAGCTTATATTCATTCATTAGTCCATTTTTTGAGGTTTGACAACTGTTTTCCATGAATTCTAAATGCCCCCAGGAAAAAGCACTAAAGGGAAAGACACCACCATGCTTATCAGTTCTTAGGAAAATCCTTTTCGAATTATGAATACCTTGTCTAAGAATGTTCTTTAAATTTGCCTTCCAAGGTGATCTAATTAAATTCCAGAATTAAATAACTGAAAATTAATCCTTCTAGAACTTACCTGACATGTATTCATCTTGAGAGCATGTATTTTTATGCTTCAGTGAGTAAAATCTTCTCAGCAAAATAGGTAAAACTTTTCCTAAGGAAATGCAGTATCTGGTGGAGAATGCCTCTGGTAAGTTTCCAGTGGAAATGAACCACTTCTGCTAGTGTGCAAGGAAACTGATATTTCTTATCCTGCAGAAAAGATGTGTGTGACAAACTGGAGGGTCAAGTTGGGCTGTTGAGCCTATAAATGAGGAAGAAACATTCTCCTCCCTTCATGGAGATGCAAAGAAAGGAAGTAATTATAGACTGATTTTTATACAAAGGATATCCATTGCAAGTTTAATTACAATAGCAAAAGCTTGGAACAGATGAGATATTCATAAATTACAAGATACCCACACTTTGGAATAATATAAATCCATTAATAATATTCCAAAGATTATGTTATGAATGAAAATTTGAGTAGGAAACAGTTCATTCTGATTTTTTATTTCTTCATTGTATTTTCCAAACTTTAAAAGTTTGGACTTTCTAAAATTTTCACAAATTTTCTGATCATCAGTAGAATCAAAGATAATTTTAAATTGAAAAACATGAGTATGCAGGAGTCCATCAGGTATAATTGGTTTCCTTGATAAGGCAAATTTCTTTGAAAGTCATAAAACACCCTAGTATAAATCATATGTAAGTAAAAGAACACAATTTTGAGGTATGAGCTTGCCAGGGCATAATGGGCACTCAATGAATACTTTAATGCTAATTATGGATCTGACATGATGCTTGTTTTATAACAGGATTCAACTACATCTTTAAACCCTATTAGCGTGGCAGCATTAATATCACAATAAAAATCTTACAACTAAATACGTCTACTAGTGTCTCTTCTATAAAATTCAATTCAACTAATTTTTAAGCACCTTCTCACACAAGTTTTCTGAGTTCACATTACCCCCCGCCCCCATATATACATCATGGATTAACTAAAATTCAGAGTTTTTAGGTACCTTGCCCAAGATCACAAACCTAGATCTTAAAGCTCCAAATTCAGACCTTTTTCTAATACTCAGGAATTGTTTCTCCTCACCTTCTCCCTCTTCTCCCCCTTTGCTTCTCCATAAGCCAAGTTCTATCAATTCTTCAAATCTTGCCTCCTCCACAAAGTCTTTCTCGGCTGCCTCCAGTCTACACCGGTGGCCTCTGAATGTGCATTGAGTCTTCTGGCATTGATTACAGGTGTGGAGCTCGTGAGGGAGCCCTCTCAAGGGCCCTTTACCTGCCTCTGCTTTCTCTCTCCTTCTTCCCTCAAGGAAATTAGGAAAACCCCTGCTACAATTACTGTGCTAGAGTGGAGTAGAGCTGAAATGGGTGTTGGGCCTTCTATAGCTGATGGAAGTAGGAAGTAGAATGGAAAATGCCTACACAGAGTTATAAAGGCAAGAAAGTGTGGGGCAGAGCCAACCACCAATAGAAAGCTCATTTTGCAAAAGACATGTGAAGAGGGGAACAAATGTGGGGAGCTTACCAGATGCAGAACAAGATCATGAGGGCAAGAGATTCTCTAATGGAACTGTTAGTGCTAGACATAGCCAGAGAATGAGAAATTAACCCTTCGAGGAAAACATAGGTCCTACCGTGCTATTGCTGCAAGAGAGGTCATTCAGAAGGCATTCTTTCCTGGTCAGTCTCTGGTGGAGAAGTCATACTGGTCTTATAAAAATTATTGGACCAGCAAATAGATATATAATAAAAATAACACCTATTGAGCTTTCACTGTATTCAGACATTTGTTAAGGGTTTTACAGGTATTATTTCTTTCAATCTTCACATCAGCCCAGTTCACAGTTGAGAGAACTAACTCTCTGATGGGTTAACAAACTTGCTGAAGGACACAGCTGAGTGCTACCACCATATTCAAACCCAGGTTTATATGCTTTCTTAAGTGCCCCTAGGCTTATGTATTTTACGGTAGATGTTGCTGATTGAAATATAATCACTTGTTATGTATAATCTGAGGTACTTTTACCTCCAGGAGCTAGTCCTACCAACTTCATATGCTCCCAAATTCATATACTCCATTTTCAAGCTCCAGGGAAAAAAAGACAATTCTCTTGCCAGGCCATTGACTGAGTAAAAAGCTAAAATGCAGTGTGTTGAGCACTGATTGTCGCAATGGGACAAAGGCTCATGAATAGGGGTTATCTGCCATGCTGCCTTCCTGGGAGATGATGTTAGCAATTATGGTATTTGTCAGAATAGTATTTAATTTTCCCTTTCCATGTGCTTGGTATTTTTTTATTAAGAATCACAGGAATTGGATGCTGGGCCCCTGGCTACAGCAAATGCAGCTGTTTCTGCTCATCCGCATGTGGTTGGGAAGCTTCTGCCCTTTGTTTCATGGGCCAGGGCTGTTTGACAGCTGAACTTGGCCCAAGGGCTGTGCATCTGTTGGCAGCTGCTCAGGAAGGCTGTCTCTGTGTTTAATATTAGTTGCACACTCCTTCCTGGAGAGAAGAAGGGGATGAATATCTAAAACATAACAGTGCAGGGGAAAAAGATACAGCAGGAATATTATAAATACATAAGGGATCCGGGCATGGATGACATTTCACAAAGACTTCTGAGGGTGTTTGGACTCTGGTCAGACATTTAAAGTAGTTTCTAATCAGGCTTTATTTTGAAAACAGATTCAAATACGATGGAAATATTCACATGCAACCCAAAGGGTGTCTGAGGGAGCCAGTGCTCCAAATGTTCTCTCTGGCAGAGGTCTTCAAAGAAGCAAGAAAAATCTGAGGCTGATTTAAAGTGTTAGATGATTTAAAATTACTTAGCATGATCAAGAAGAGTGTTTATTATAGTTCTATCAAGCTTTACCATCTGATAAATCAGCCTTGACACAGAGCATAAGCCTATGCTTCCAAATAGGAGGATCTGGGCCAGGGCTGGGACTGGACTTTGGAAAGGACCTTCTTATTAAAAGGATGTTGCAGAGGCTCATTTAGTCTGGGGATGCCACGAGGCTGGTGTTTTCCAAAATGTCTTCTGCACAGCAGTGTCCACATGAGATCCTTGGGCCAAAATAATTATCGTACGGCTATGTAAATTTAGAAAACACTATACACTATGGCTCTGCCACCGCTCAGAGATTCACAATGCATATTAGAAGGATATTAAGTACTATAATTCTGTAATTAGAACAGCTGCTTACTTTTGCCCTAATTCAACATTTATCATTTGACCACAGGCCCTATTTTCATGGATTACTATTACTAGTGGTAGTAGGGATCAAAATGAGCCACCCTAGTTGAGAACATACTCTACATTAGACATTGTTCAGGGATGAAATATGTGTCCTCACTTAATCCTCATGCCAGCCAAAAGTGTAGTAGGCTATTATCATCACGTTACAGATAAAGAAACTGAGGCACAAAGTAACTTACTTGAGATCACCTAACAAATAAGCCATGGAGCCTAGCTTCAAACCCAGGAAGTCCCACACCCCTGTCCCGTTGCTTCCCCACTAGGCCAGAGTAACTCAGCCAGGGGCAACAAATGAGGCACAGGTGGGCCCTGACATATTGATAGCTGTCAAATGTGTGAGGTGATAAAATTTAAAGCCATTTTTGCAATTATTCCAAAATTTAAATAGTTGAAATTACATTCGAACACTATTTGTATGTAACTTTCTGAATTTGACAATTATTACTTCAGCAGATGAAGACTTTATTGGAATAAAACACAGCATCTACCTGTTCAATCACCTCCACTGCTCTGTGATTTACTTTTCAATAAACGTTTTCTGTTTGTTAGTGCATGTAAGTTATTTCCTGTTCTTTCCCTTTAACGTGCTTATCTTTGTGATTACTCATCTAGAAATCACTTCCGATTGCTGTTGCTGTTTCTCATTTTTCTTTTTAGATATTGATATTTAGAAGATAACGGGTGTTGTTAATTTTCTAGACTAAAACCTCTGGATTTACTTATGTTTTTATCAGCTTCTGATATTTAAAATTAGCCAGAGTGGGTTTGAGGGAATTTTATACTGATTATTGTTTGTTTCAGCAAATTTTTATTTCTCATAAAAATAATTGAGCCTAATTCATTTAAATTGATTTATTAAAGACACTGTAGGCCTTTAAAATTTAAAATCACATTTTATAAAGGTTAAACATTTTTAATTGTTCAATTAACTGAAACTTAATAGTCTAATAATCAGAAAATTAATTTGCTAAATTTGTAAAGATTGTCATTTCTGTTGAGAACTTTATGCTTAAACAGATTTAATTTTTACTTGACATTTATTTTCCCACCACAATTAGGAAGAGTGTATTAAAATTGAAGTCACCAGATTTATAACACAAATGAAGAATCCACCACAGAAGCTGACAGGACTAAAGAGCAACATGAGGATTCTCTCAAATGTCTATTTGTGGGCCCTGATACTTCCTTTTTCTTCCAAACTTATTATTTATTTGCATGCAAAGGTATTAAACAAATTGTCACATACTACACTGGTACCTTGTCAAAAGCAACTATCCGTACAGGAAATATTTGAACTTTAAATGTGTGCAAGGGCAAGATATGGAACAAAAATTTTCTATAAGGTATTTACAACAGTATTAGCTGGAGTTCAAGAGGCTAGTTATGAAAGCACAACACTATCACTAGATCCAAAGTACTTTTCAACTTTGCTTTCAAAAATCGACTTCTCATTTTTTTAGCACTGGAATGAACTTAGCTGAAATTTGCAAGAATGTGAATTATGCAAAATGTAAATTGCAACATGTAAAATTATGTTAATATTTAATGACCAAATTTATGGATTCAGAAAAACTCAACTTTAAAAAGGGAGATTGAAATGGTTGATTGGTTATGTTAAACCAGCATTTTATTTGAATTCTGAAAGAAAATTTTTAACACTAGAAGAACAATATCTGACTATAATTGAAGAAAAGCATCATCATTATTTTTGGAAAACAATATAAAAAACTGATAAATCCATATGCATGCATTATCACAAATATTTTCAACATTATAGTTTCACTGAAAAGAAAAAAAACAAATCAAAATCATGAGAGTTACAGAACTACAAGTCCTTTGACCTATAATTTATAGAAACTAAATTCTGGTTGCTAGCAAGAAAGAAGCAGTCAAATGAAGAAAACAGTAATATACACACTCCTTATATCCAATGCTATTTGTGATAATAAAGAATTAAAAGGGATCACCATTAAATTGCCTTCTTCAAAAATTACTTGTAGCTGTTCAAGCAAGAAAACCTTATACAAAACAGTATTCTCATAAAATGAAGCTTATTAAAATATTATTAAAAAATTATTTGGATGTTTTATATAAACTCAATATTTAATATCTATTTAATATCTTACCTAAAACTTTGTATTTTATTTTTCTTGTAATTTGGCCACAAGGAAATGTAATTTTTTTTTCAACAAGACCCATATGGATGTCCCCAAATGATATGAAAAGAAATTGAAATGCAGTGTACAATACCATGCTGTATCAACATCACACGCACTCATAAAAGTATACTTTTGGAAATCCCGGCCTAGTCAGTCTGATCTACACAGGATGGCAGTACTACAGCGTTGAATTTCCAGAATTTCTTAACATAGGAAATAATCAATGTATTAATATTAAGGCCCTGTTCCTTCTATGCCTAACCTGGTGACTGAATGTGGCACTAACGAATCTTCCAGTAAGTTCAATGTTCTCCCAAATTGTATCAGAGAGTACAAGCAACCTTTTTAACTTTAACTACATGTGTGTGGGTAGTGCGGAACAAAGTAGGAGAACCCTAGCCCCAACCCTTCTTCCTTACTTAAATATTTTCATCTCAGGCACGTTTCCCATCTCTAATCCTAGGGTATATATGCTTTCCCTTGGTGGAAGTTCAGATAATTGTGGGTTAACATGATCAGCTCTTTGGTCAGGCACGTAGGATTGAGAGTTTAGTAATGCAAGGCAGGACAACACAGAAGAATAAGGCAAGGGAAAAGAAAAGGAGGAGGAGATAGGGGAGGAGATAGCTGAAGAAGAGAGGAGCCCAGACACGCCAGAAGAGACACAATAAAGACCTGTTAATCAAAGATCATGAGAGGCTATTGCTTTGGACTGAGTTCCTACATTAGGCCACAACACTAGTGCAACACTAGTGCACAACACTAGTGCAAACCAAAATGGAGTGACTCATGCTGAATGACACATAATCAAACTGAAACATTAAGGAAGCAGATAGATCCCCTCCCCGCAAAAAAAAAAAAAACAGTTTTTCCTGAAAATAGGAGATTTCAGGCTCCCTGAGTCAGTGTAATAAGTGGATCCTCTCTGATTTAACCTTCATTTAAAAATTAACTTAACATTAACCAGTCAGCTTTTTACTGTTGCTTCATTTCTTTGTCCCCACCTTACAAAACCCACCGCTCTGCCAGTGCCCAGTGGGAGCTCTCATTCTATTTTGTAGAACGGCAGCTGTCCTGATTCATGAACTGTGAGTAAGAAAGAACTATAACTAAGTTTGTTGTAATTTTGTCTTTTGACAACGACAACAATGCAAGCTCTTTAGGATTCAAGTTATAATTCCAATTAGACCTCATGGCCAGCTTGTGCCTCTCAATATCAACAAAGGCCATTCAAATTTACCAACCCACTCCACAGAGCTTTGTCTAGCTAATTCAACCTTATTCCTCTAGTTTCTCTCCTCAGTTTGTGCTAGTAAAATAACAGGTTGTTTTTAACTTGTTTTGTATTTTTTAACCTTTGAAACCCGTTCTTCAAAAAAAAAAAAAATCTTAGAAGCAGCCCAATGAAATAAACAGAAAAATACCATACCATTCTGTGCTGAAGCATGGAAGTAGCTGCAAAAACCTCTATACCTGAAGACATTTGAATTGTTAACTATGTTATTTTGTAGTCCTTTTATATTATGCTATATATTCATTTAAGTATTATATGATTGTATATATGTCAATGTCTTTCAAAGTCTAATGAACACTATATGAATCACCCAGGGATATTGTTCGAGATTCCTGTTGAAGAGTTCTGGTGTGGGATGAGAGAGGCTGTATTTCTAGCAAACTCCTAGATGAAGCCACTGCTGCTAGACCTTGGCCCTGACATACATACAATCATAGGACAGTGAATGAATACAAAACATTACATTAAAAAACCACAAAACAACATAGTTAACACATTGGGTAGCACAGTACTGGGTTACTGTGGGCTAACTCGTGGCAGATAAAACAAAGTATGTTTTTACTTGCTGTTATTAAGACCTCAAAAATTAAAATAATAGTAAGAACTGATTAATGAGGTACAAAACTTCTCACCTAATTAAATGAATTCCCCATTCAGAACTCGGTAATGTCAAGAAGGTCAGGAAAGTCCTCAAGCTCTCTCAACCTCAGTTTCCACTTACATTCTGATTCTTTGAGCTCCATGATTCTAAAGGCAACGTGCTCTTAAATCTAATTGCAAGTCTCGCAAGTCTAGAGTGGATCCCAGGAGATTCAGAGTTGTCGGAGATACCTCAAGTTCGATCCAGGACATGAACCTGGCTTAGGTATTGAACAGGCTCACAGCCTCTGCATGCCATTATTGGAGTTCAGCGGCTCCAAAGTTGGAGTCACTCCCTTGAGTTCCACAAACACTATTACCCTCAGTGGTATCTGCCTTGGTCAAAAGAAATAAGGTCCAGTCTCAGAGTGACACAAAGGGCTCGGACTCAAAAGTCTACAGTGACTTGGAAGCTCATGTAAATGAGTAAAGTTGTCCCCAGTGTTCAAAGGGACTGATGGGGAGTATGACAAAATGACAGTGCCACCGCTCAGCTCCAGATGATTCTACGATACACAAATGCAGGCCTGTTGACTGCACAGAAGCAGATATTCAGATTTTTCAGAAGAAGTAGAAATCAAGATTTTTAAAAATGTGAATCTTATTTAATATACAGCATGTGCTGGTTAACAAGGCCTGAGCGAGGTCCTCCAGTTTGTAAGCCCCAGAAAAAGGACTGCATTCCACAGGCAGCCATCCTGGCTTCTAATGAAATTCAAGGATCAGCTAGCGTGAGCACTCCTTTTTTAATGACAAAAATATATATATTGCACAGTATTCTTTGATAATCTTTGTCAACATTTTTATTTTTATTTTGAAAGTTCTGGCTTTCTATAAGCTCTTTGTAGTTAATCACAGGCTTGTGATTTGTCCAAAAAGCGCTTTCAGGATCGATGTGGTTCCTGGTTAGCATCTTGTTCTCTTACATTAAAAAAAAAAGAATACGATTATTTTGTTATTCATGAATACTTTATGGTACTTGTTTTAACAGGGAAGCTGAATGCTATGGCCATTGAACATTTTCAAACTGTCTACATGGTAGAGGAAGAAAACCTAGTGGAACAGATGTACACTGTGTTTTCTTCTTTTTCACAGAAACAAACTCACCTCTCCTTGATCTTCCACCCCGTTGCCAAGTTCAGTATTCTGAAGAATATTGAGAAAAAAAAAAGTAAACTGATACTGGCCCTGTCAGAGGGTCTTACTAATTTCCAGTTAATTATTTTGGGGTTTTGACTGGCTCTGGTGACAACAAAATATTCAACCAATTCTGTTAAGATATCATTTACATCATTTATTCAACTCCTGGGTCACGTTTACTAAACAGCTACTTGAGAAAATGGAAAAACGAGTCCAAACATTGTTTAACTGACCCATAGGCACAATAATTTGTTTCATTAACTTGTTTACACTTGCTAAGTTGTCAGACTAAATTAAAATAATCAATCTTGTGTGGCCACAAATATGCAGATGTTGTGGAGACTTTGCTTACTCAAGGAGTGAACTTGGTGACTGAAGTTATTGTGGATCCAGGTGACTGAGCAAGAGGTTTATTTTTCCAGGACTTCAAATACAACTCAACAAGACATTTATCAGTAATCATATAAAGTACAAGATACGCATTGGCTAATAAGCAATCTCTGACAAAATAAAGCTGAAGAGTCTCTATCTGAAGCTTGTCAACAAGAAAAGAAATAGCAATAAACAAGACTTTTCCATAAAAGAAAATCTGACTAAAATTACTGTTGGCTGTTTTGTGTTCTTTTCTTGACATACTTTTATCTTCAGTCTACCTCTGTTTAAATATGACTGCAGATGTAAATGAACCCAGCCAAAATCTGCTGACTTTGGTCCAGATCAGAACCACCCGACTGACTTTTGCTTACGGAAAGTAATAAACGATGTCTGTTTTAAGCAACCAAGATTTAAGGTGGTTACTTAGCAATAGATAACTGATACGTTTGATTCTCATAATTGTTATTTCCACTTAAGATGGAATTTACAAGGCATATAGCTCAAAACATTCTATCTTTATGATGTTTTAATAAATAGGCAAAAATAGATTCAATCAATTCCATATAATAAAAGGCTTCTATCACCACATTCACTTTCTCTGTCCCCCACAGCTAACCCCTAGCAAGCTCTAATGTGTTCTCCATTTCTAAAACATTGGCATTTTTTAAATGTTATATTAATGGAATTATACAGTCTGTAACTAATATGGTTTGGTTCTGTGTTCTCACCCAAATATCATCCCAAATTGTAATCTCCACATATTGAGGAAGGGACCTGGTGGGAGGTGACTGGATCATGCCATGCTGTTCTCATGCTAGAGTTCTCATGAGATCTGGTGGTTTAAAAGTGGCAGTTTCCCCTAGGTTGTCTTTCTCTTTCTCTCTCTCTCTCTTTCTTTCTCTCCTCTCTCTCTCTCTCCTCTCCTCCTCTCTTCTCCTTCTTCTCTTTCTCTTCCTTCTCCTCCTTCTCCCTTCTCCTCTCTTCTCCTTCTTCTCTCTCTCTCTCTCTCCTTGTGAAGAACATGCTTGCTTCCCCTTTGCCTTCTGCCTGATTATAAGTTTCCAGGGGTCTCTCAGCTATACAGAACTGAGAATCAATTGGACCTCCTTCTTTTAAATAAATTACCCAGTCTCAGGTAGTATCTTTATAGCAGTGTGAAAACGGACTAATACAGTAACCTTTTGGGTTGGCTTATTTCACTCAGAATAATTCTCTGAAGACTCATCTAAGTTGTTGCTTGTCCATCTCTTTCCATTGTTGAATAGTATTCCATGATAAGTTTATACCACAATTATTTAAGTAAAGCTATTGTGTACAGGTTTTTGTGTGAACATGAGTTTTGATTTCTCTGGGATAAATGCCAAAGAGTACAATTGCTAGTTATATGGTGGCTGTACCTCTTAACATTTTGATTATCAATCTATGAATGATTCCATTTCTCAACATTCTTGTTAGCATTTGGTGTTGTCTCTATTTTTATTTTAGGCTTTGTGATAGGGGTATCATGATATTTTATTGTGGTTTTAATTTGCATTTAACTAATAGCTAATGATGTTAAAGATTTTTTCATTTATTTATTTGTTATCTGTATATAGTCCTGGGTGAAATATTTCTTTATGTCTTCTGTTCATTTGAAGTTTTCTTTTTCCTTTGAGGTTAGAGAGCTCTATGTATATACTAGACACTAGTCCTTCATTGAATACGTAGTTTGCAAATACTTCTACTACTTTTTTTTTAGTTTGATGTAGTACATTTCTCATTTGTTCCTTTTTTGGATCATGCTTTCGGTGTCAAATCTAAAAACCATTTGTCTCATGGTAAATCTTGAAGATTTTCTCCTGTTTTTTTTTCCCCTAACTGCTTTATATGTTTTATATGTAAGTTCATTATTCATTTTAAGTTGATTTTTATAAACAGTAAGAAGTTTAAGTAGAGGCTCCTTTTTTGTCTATAGATGTCCACTTGCTGCAAAACTTTTTGTTTTTTTTGTTTTTTGGGGGGTGTACTTTTTATTATTATTATTATACTTTAAGTTCTAGGGTACATGTGCACAACGTGAAGGTTTGTTACGTATGTATACATGTGCCATGTTGGTGTGCTGCACCCATTAACTCGTCATTTAACATTAGGTATATCTCCCAATGCTATCCCTCCCCCCTCCCCCCACCCCACAACAGTCCCCGGTGTGTGATGTTCCCCTTCCTGTGTCCATGTGTTCTCTTTGCTCAATTCCCACCTATGAGTGAGAACATGTGGTGTTTGGTTTTTTGTCCTTGCGATAGTTTGCTGAGAATGATGGTTTCCAGCTTCATCCATGTTCCTACAAAGGACATGAACTCATCCTTTTTTTATGGCTGCATAGTATTCCATGGTGTATGTGTGTCACATTTTCTTAATCCAGTCTATCATTGTTGGACATTTGGGTCGGTTCCAAGTCTTTGCTATTGTGAATACTACCACAATAAACATACGTGTGCATGTGTCTTTATAGTAGCATGATTTATAATCCTTTGGGTATATACCCAGTAACGGGATGGCTGGGTCAAATGGTATTTCTAGTTCTAGATCCCTGAGGAATCACCACACTGACTTCCACAAGGGTTGAACTAGTTTACAGTCCCACTAACAGTGTAAAAGTGTTCCTATTTCTCCACATCCTCTCCAGCACCTGTTGTTTCCTGACTTTTTAATGATTGCCATTCTAACTGGTGTGAGATGGTATCTCATTGTGGTTTTGATTTGCATTTCTCTGATGGCCAGTGATGATGAGCATTCTTTCATTTGTGTTTTGGCTGCATAAATGTCTTGAGAAATGTCTGTTCATATCCTTCGCCCACTTTTTGATGGAGTTGTTTTTTTCTTGTAAATTTGTTTGAGTTCATTGTAGATTCTGGATATTAGCCCTTTGTCAGATGAGTAGGTTGCAAAAATTTTCTCCCATTCTGTAGGTTGCCTGTTCACTCTGATGGTGGTTTCTTTTGCTGTGCATAAGCTCTTTAGTTTAATTAGATCCCATTTGTCAATTTTGGCTTTTGTTGCCATTGCTTTTGGTGTTTTAGACATGAAGTCCTTGCCCATGCCTATGTCCTGAATGGTATTGCCTAGGTTTTCTTCTAGGGTTTTGATGGTTTTGGGTCTAACATTTAAGTCTTTAACCATCTTGAATTAACTTTTGTATAAGGTGTAAGGAAGGGGTTCAGTTTCAGCTTTCTATATATGGCTAGCCAGTTTTCCCAGCACCATTTATTAAATAGGGAATCCTTTCCCCATTGCTTGTTTTTGTCAGGTGTGTCAAAGATCAGATAGTTGTAGATATGCGGCATTATTTCTGAGGGCTCTGTTCTGATCCATTGGTCTATATCTCTGCAAAACCATTTGTTGAAAAGGCTATCTTTTCTACATTGAACTACATTTGCACCTTTATCAACAATCAGTTTGGCATATTTGAATAGTTCTGTTTTTTTTTCATTTTTTCATTGATCTATGTATCTCTCTATCAATACCACAATAATTTTATTTTTGTAGTTATACAGTAAGCCTTAAAACAGGTAGAATGATTCCTCATATTTCATTTTTCTTTTTCAAGATGGTTTTAGCTAATTCAAGATTTATGCCTTTCTATATAAATTTGAGAATAAGCTTGTCTATGTGTAAAAACAAAACAAAACAGAAACTTGGGAATAATTGACATCTTCCCTATTTTGAGCTTCTCAATCCATGAACATGGAATATATTTCTATCATTTACATTTTATTTGATTTCTTTCATCAGCATTTTGTCATTTTCAGCATACAGATTCTGTACATGCTTAATTTATTAAGAAATTAAGAATATATTTCTATCATTTACATTTTATTTGATTTCTTTCATCAGCATTTTGTCATTTTCAGCATACAGATTCTGTACATGCTTAATTTATTAAGAAATTAAGAATATATTTCTATCATTTACATTTTATTTGATTTCTTTCATCAGCATTTTGTCATTTTCAGCATACAGATTCTGTACATGCTTTATTAAGTATACACAAATAGATTGCAATTTCTTTGGAAAAATTTTAGCTTGCATGGTATTTCAAATTTTGATTGTTGTATGTTCACAGTTGGTATAAAAAATAAAATTTTGCATGCTGATCTTGCATCCTATGATTTTTTGAACTCATCCACTTGTTATGTAAGTTTTTTTGTAGATCTCTCCAGATTTTCTATGTAATTATGAAATTTGTAAATGGAGATAATTTTCTTTACAATTTGTATGCCTTCTCCTTTCATCCTTCATTCCTTCCTTCCTTCCTTATTTATTTTTTCCTTGTAGCAATGGCTAGAACTTCCAATGCTGCATCCAATAAGAATGGTGAGAATACATTCTTGCTTTATTACAAACCTTAGGAGGAAAATAATGAGTCTTTCATCATCTAAGATGTTAATTTTAGGTTTTTTGTAGATGCTTTTTGTCAAGTTAAGGAAATTTCTCTCTATTCTTAACTTGTGGTGCATGTTTGCAGTAAATAAATATCAGATTCTGTTAAATTATTTTTCTAGGTAAACTGATATAATCTTCTATTTTTTCCTACCCTACCCTGTTGATAAGAGGAATTGCATTGATTTTTGAATGTTAAGCCAGCTTTTCATACCTGGAATAAATCTCACTTGATCACACTGTATAATTCTTCTTATACATTTTTATTCAATTTGCTAACATATTGTTGAAAATTTAGGTCATAAGAAGTATTTATCCGTAGCTTTTTTATACTGTCTGTGTGGTTTTGTTTTCAGGGTAATATTAGCTGTATGAAATGAATTGAGTAGCAGCAGTATTTTTAGCTGCCTAAATTTAGATGTTACTCAATAATCTATCATCAATAGAAATACATACATATATACACATATATGTACATATATACACATATATACATATACACACATATATGTACATATATACACATATGTACATATATACACATATATGTACATATATACACATATGTACATATATACACATATATGTACATATATACATATATTTATACATGCATATATTTATGTACATACATATATACACACATATGTATGTATATGTGCATATACATATATACATATGTATGTATAAATATACCCATACATGTTTATGTACATATATGTATGTGTATATATGTATATATATATATACACACACACATACTCTACTGCCTCAGCCTCCCGAGTATCTGGGATTACAGGTGCGCACCACCACACTGGCTAATTTTTGTATTTTTAGTAGAGGCATGGTTTCACCATGTTGGCCAGGCAGGTCTTGAACTCCTGACCTCAAATGATCCAAGGCCAAGGCCTCCAATATACATATATATATATACATATATACACACACATAAATGTGTATATACGTATGTATATGTGTATGTATGTGTATATGTGTGCATAAATATATATGCAGTATTTCATATATACATATATGTGTATATATGTGTGTGTATAAATATATATGTAGTATTTCATAAAATTCAATAATATACTGCAATGGGAATAAACAAACCACAAGTACACCCAAAAGTACGTATGGATCTCACAAACATGTTGCAAAGAAGCCAGTCACAAAAGAGTGCATATAAGAATCCATTTTTGGCTGGGTGCAGTGGCTCACACCTGTAATCCCAGCACTTTGGGAGTCCTTGGCCTTGGATCATTTGAGGTCAGGAGTTCAAGACCTGCCTGTCCAACATGGTGAAACCATGCCTCTACTAAAAATACAAAAATTAGCCAGTGTGGTGGTGCGCACCTATAATCCCAGCTACTTGGGAAGCTGAAGCAGTAGAATTGCTTGAAGCTGGGGAGGCAGAGGGTGCAGTGAGCCGAAATCATGCCACTGCACTCCAGCCTGGGCAACAGAGTGAAACTCTGACTCAAAAAAAAAAAGAATCAATTTTTATAAAGAACTTAAGGGCAAACTAATCTATGATGTCAGAAGTCAAGACAATGGTTTTAAGAATTAGTTCCTGAAAGGGAGCATAAGGATAGTTTTCTGGGGTGCTTTTCATGTTCTGTTTCTTTAGCTGGGTGCTGACTATACAGGCATGGGTATCTGTGTACATTTCACTGAGTTTGGTAATTGCCTACATATTTCTGTATGATTGCTAAACTTTGATTAAAAAAGAAAAATAATATCCACCAAGCCATCACCAGTCCCACAGAGTAGCTCCCCACTCACACATACGCACTATTTCCTGTTTGAACTTTCCAGGACTGTGGCATATGATTCAATGATTATATAAATGTAAACACAAGAAGAACTATTTTATAGTGTGTTTTACTAGAAAGACATGAAATTCATTGTTTCTCAAAAAGAGCCACCATATTTTTTTGTTTCTTTTTTGGGCCTTAGTGTTGAACAGCTTCATTGGTGTCCAATGTACAATCTTTGTAAAACATTTGAGAGCCATTCATATTTCTAATAGAGAGAAAATGGATCAAAAGGTAGTTTTGCCAACTACTTTTTATTTGATGTGCATTTTTTTCCTTGCCTACTTTGTACTTGAAGATAGGGATATCACAGAGTATTGTCATAACAATACCCAGTTAATCTAAAATAATTGAGCCTGATAACATCTCTGATTACAGTATGCTTTCTTTAGTGTTCTGTACTTAAGAATGATAAATGAATAGATATCCATTAAATACACATTAGAAAATGAAAGCCATGATTAGTAAAGTACATCAAGAACTTGATACTATCCTGGCTTTAAAGCAATAAGTAGGAATGATAGATTCAAGGGGTTAGTGGTACTATGTCTTATATCACAAGAACAAACAAGTCACTGAAAACTACTTCCACCCAAGAGATTTAAAGTTCTTAAGCCTTAGAAGAAAAACCCTGGCCCTTCTAAATGCCTCTGATGGTTTGTGAAACAGCACACTGCAAGAAGCCTGCAAAAAAATGTTCACTGTGAACTCTGAGAAACAGGAAAACTTGTTTGAACAAAATCAATTCACTCCAACTGCACCGCCTAGTCACTATCAAGTTACCCTCACAGGAAAGAGAGTTCCTATTGATCCACCCACCTCTATCACCCTTACTCTCCACTTGTCTACTTTGTTATTTTACAGTTCCTAGGAGAGGAAAAGTTGTCTTAAAAGTTTCTAGGTGATACCTTGCATTTTCAGACGGACGATGTATAAAACTGTGATTCTTTAAATAGATTAACTACAAATGGTTCTCAAAATTTAGTGTCCATGAGAATGAGCTGCAGTCTTTAAAAAATGTTAATATTCAGATCCCAGCCCTAGAGATTATGACTGGGCACTGGATCCCTGAATTCTGCATTTTTAACAATCATCCCAGGTGATTCTGATACATTAGACCTGGGAGAAAAGAGAAGAACAGAGACAGAGAGAGAGGGGCAGAGAGAGAGAGAAAACCAGTCTAAATAAATAAAAATTCCAAGACTGAAAAGCATTTTTGCAAAATGACAAAGCTTGATACTTTTGAATATAAATGGCAATAACAACTGGGTATAAATTGTGCTGCCCTGCACCATAATATGAGGCCTGATATATAAAAGTAGGATATCGGTAAATATTATATAGCACCCTCACTCATTCATTCCATTACTATTTATTATAAAAACCTCTGTGCCAGGAAAGGTGAGTCCTGAAGGATATCATGGTAAGTGTTTTTTAAAAATCTGGGAGTGCAACAGAGAAAACAGAAAAATAACATGCTTGTGTGTAAACTGTGCCGTGCGGATGATCTTATTTAAGTTCTCTTCTTCAGGATAAACCAACAAATGCATACATTGGGAATTCAGGTCACAAGCTTTAATGCTCTATAGAAGCCTTTCTCCCTCTATGATATTCAGATTCTTCAAGCTGACCAGATTGCTTCAAGAACAAATAGCTGATGCACAGAAGCCCCTGCGCCATGCATGGCAAGGCCTCCAGGTTCCTCAGAGGGTGACCACTCTTTCAGTTCACTGTCAAGGCTCAGAATGCAGATGACCCATCTCTTAGGGTTTGCAGCCCTTCTGGAATATAGCCCCTACCATGACTTTCAAAAGTTTCATAGGTACAGCTCCCCATTTTGAACATCTATCCAATGCCTTATAAGTGGAGGACAAAGCTACTCAGTAATGGGTGTGTTTCTCCCCCAAGGTCAAAGTTGTGTCCCAGACATATGTACAGTACTTACCTTTAGTTTTTCCCACCTTAGGATGACCTTCTTCCCTTCACAGCAGGGTATATTCTCACTCCAAGTCAGAGGGCAGTACTGATTTTCCCTCTCTCTTTAAAGGATCTGAATTTTGGAATTTGAGGTGCCCCTTAAGAATTCTTCCTGTGTTGCACAGAGCCCTGTATTTACTCAGTCCCCTGAGAAAGATACCATGGTAGGTATACACCAACATATCCTTGTTCCCCACACTGGGCACATTTTCTCCAGTTATCATTCATAGGAATAGGGTTGACTTGGCCAGGAAAAAGAAGAAGGGCCAGTGTGGTTGGCTAAGGTTTTGTTGACATAATGAATAAGAAAAGCAAACTGCAATTTTACGTTCCTCATTCTTTTTTATTTTGGTTGTTACACCATTAGTATAGGATTTTATTAGGAAAATAATTATCAAATAGCAAAAGCGGCTGGGCGCAATGGCTCATGCCTACAGTCCCAGCACTTTGGGAGGCCAAGGCGGGTGGATCACTAGGTAAGGAGTTTGAGACCAGACTGTCTAACATGGTGCAAACTATCTCTACTGAAGATATAAAATATTAGCCGGGCCTGGTGGTGCACGCCTGTAATCCCAGCTACTCGGGAGGCTGAGGCGGGAGAATAGCTTGAACCTGGGAGGCGGAGGTTGCAGTGAGCCGAGATTGTGCCACTGCACTCCAGCCTGGGCGACAGAGAGAGACTCTATCTCAGAAAAACAACAACGAAAAATAACAAAAGCATTCACAAAATTACAAATCATTCTTTTAAGCTTTTGTTTAGCCAAATGTATATAAGTGTGTGTATGTATGTATGTATGTATGTAAGTATAAATATATACAAATATGTATATGTATCTTTTAATAACTAAATGTCAGTGTTTACATTACTTGCAAGCTACTTCTTTCACTAAAAATGTATCATAAAAATCTTTCCATTTCAAAAATATTATACAGTTACCATCAATTTAAAGGTTACATTGTATCTATTGCACGTGTTTACCTTATGTAACTTCATGAGTCCTCTAAGGTTCAATATCTGGGACTGTTCACAATTTTTACTACTATCAACAATTCTACATCTTTAAACTACATCTTCGATTGCCTGTGATGAACTCACTTTAACCTACATCTACATCTACATTTCTTCAGGTTATGTTCCTAAAAGTACAGCTGCTGTTTCAAACAAACTGATCTTCAAAAAATTAAATCTTTAACATTGTAGGAAAAACAAGCCATTTCAGCAGGACACATTGGGTTATAACTATGGTAAATAACTGTCTTGAAGCATAATATTAGGCAGTTTGTCTACAAGGCAGAAATTGTCCTAATTGCAAACCTAATTTTTTCAGGGGCACCATTATTATTTATCACTAGAGTTTCATTCATCATAGAAAAGTGAATGAGTAATTTTAATAGCAATGGCTACCATACACCTCATACTGCACTTATTATTTATTTTTTCATGCTCTTAAATGCCTTCTATTGTTCACTGCCAGAGATAAAAGAAAGAAGATTGGGGCTATATATGTAGTGAATTCTAGTAGATGCAGAGGACTTCTAGTTGAATAAGGCCAAAGGAGAAAAAAAATGATAATAAGCTTGGCAAATAGTGGGGCACACACCACCCAGATTTGGCCCAGATTGCTGTGTGCTATTCCCAAGAACAGTCTCTTCCATCTTTCCCAATCTGCATGTACAAAGGGCAGTGATGAGGCACTCTAAGTTGGAATCACATATTATAAGATGTGGTTGCTATGGTGATGGGAGGAGATTGGCTAAGGTAGAACGGCATGAGGAGATTGTATTGTTGAGATAAACCTGGACCACATAGGATTTTACACCAACTTACTTCTGTGAACCAGCTTCAGCATTTCTTTTTGCCTCATTTCACAATGCTAGAACACATCACAAATAGAATAAAAACAAATACCAAAAGTTTCTTCTAGCTAGAGGGGTCTCCATCACCACTAAACTTTGTGGCATCTTCTGGTAAGTTACTAGAAGTTGGGGGAGATTAAAGTCTGACAACCTCTTTACCAACTCTTCCTGACTGTGAGTCCCCTGAGATAATAATATCAGGACAAATATTAGGCTGAGACGCAGCCTGCATCGAAGGTGAGAACAGTTCTGGGACTACTTCTTTTTCAGTCTTTCTCGCACTAACCCCCCTTAAAATGACTTTCTGAGAAAGCTCAATGCTGCCAGGAGAATTTACTGTTTGTTCCAGCCAAAACCTGGTGATAGGCCAATAGGCCCTTGAATCCCTCTTAAAGCACTTATTTTAGAAAGCTTGCAATTATAAATCCTTTCTCTGCCCCCATTGAAATAAATCTTTTACCATCCAGAAGTGGCTCCTCAAGGACATGAGAGCCATCTCCTTGAAATACAAACATTCAAGGCAATAGTTCTCATTCCCAGTCCCTGTAGGACAGTAAGGACCTAACTTCAGTGGATGCCTTGCTCCAACTTGCACCACTAATTTCTGTCAAAAAGATATGAGAAGTTTGCTCCTCTAGGTGAACACTAGTTAGCAAACCCAGATAGCCTAATCACATGGACCAATCTCTCCCTTAATGCCTTTCTTTGGGTACACCCCAGCATTTAAACAGTCTCCTGCCTTTCGTTGGACTGAGCTGTTATGCTGAGGTCTCTCCCACATTGCAATAGTTATTCCTGAGTGAAATCGAAGTTTACTGCTTTTAAAAAGTGCCCCATTTTATTTTCTTTGGCAATACTGACTGTTGAAGCTGTGACAACTTTCAGATCCTACCAATCCTGTGGTTTGTTTTCTAACCGGATTTCTAGCCTCTTGATAGTACTAAATTTCACTGATCATTATGTTTCTAGTGCTTCTCTTACCTACTGAACCTTCAGTTTATCAGCCTTCCTGGCCTTGAAATGTACCTGTTGAACTCTGCTCCATCTCATGAGCCTAGCAACAGATGTGTTGTGTGAGACCATTTAAGTTGACAATAGGAGACACAAAAGGCACTAAAACTAATAAGAAATTCATCTCCAATTTACAACCCACGTCATTTTAGGAGACTCTTTTTTCATATTGAAAATCTACTCTTTATATTCATCCATATCATATTTATCAACAATCAAACTTGAAATGATTATAGAATTTATCTTCAAAAAATATTTTAGCATTCCTGTTTATTTCTATGGGTAATTAAAAATAAAATAGGGAGGTTGTCGGTGTAAAGGGAAGCAAAATTCTAAGGAGATGGGTTGCTCAATCTTGTTACCATCCCTATTTGATTCTCTAGGAATCTGTCTAACAGCACAGCAATGCTGATATTTCCTTTGCTTCTAATCCTTTGACACCTTTTAGACTGCTTAAAAGAAGCAAATGGTCTCTTGACTTTGCCAAGAAAATGATCCAAAACTCTCAAATTTAAACTATTTCCCATTTTTTCTTTCTAGCATTTGCTCACCAACCAGGAGGTAAGGCAGTAACAATATAACAGCTTTTATTGCCAGCATCATATTTTTATTACTTATTAAGTAACAGTATTGAGGAAACATTATTTATCAAGTTTTAATGATGTGGTATGTACTAAAAAGAACATACAGTTAGGTTGTAAACTTTAAATATAGATTTTAGTTGTCATAGTTTAATGCAAAAGCTCTCATTTTCTACTTTGTCTCATCTACTGCCCTCCAAACTTGACTATTTAACAAACAACTATTTGTTGAGAGGCTACTCTGTCCCTACAATGCACTAATAAAAGACCCAAACTGTTACAACCACTACCTCAAAACAAGACTCCACCAATGAGGTGCTTAGGGCATAGTTGGTGAGATGATGTCTGCATGTGTACAGCAATTAGCAAACAAGGCAGTATGGACTGCATGAAAATACTTTTTGTATTCCACTTTCAAGTGTCTTAAGTAAGATACTCTGGCTTTGGTCATTGTGGGAGAAGATAAAATATAATTCCTTACTTAAAAGAGCTCACAATTTAATTGAAGAAAGAAAAGATAGCACATACATGAATATAGCTACACTTGCAAAGTAACTTGTAAATTTCTATAACACACAGTGAATAAGTTAAGCAAATGGACACCAGTTCAATCAAGGAAAAATTAAGGAGAAAATGAGATTGTCGATATTACCCCTTCTCATCTCCAATCCCCAAAAGAAATATCCCTGTAGCCAGGAAATTTAGTAAGGCTTAGCCTGTCTCAGGTCCCAATAGGTTTATGTAGAAATCCTATACAATAGTAATGGAAGGTGACTTGAAACTTCAGCTTTAAATTAGGAATTAATACAATTTAAATCTATTTCATTTTAATTTTATTGGCCAAAAAGAACACAATTCTTCAGAGACCAGAAACCCTTGATGCTTTTTCTCATCACTGAAAATTGTCATAGTGAATCCTACTGGGAACTAGTGTCTTAAATTCAAATGATTAAAAAAAATAAAGGTAGGCAAGTTAAAATTTTCCTCTAACAGAAATAAATCAACAACACTCTTTGGCTATGGAGACAACACAGCAATGGTTTTGACGGTTCTGTGCTGCTGTCAGCTCAAATTGGTGGAAGAGCAATTTAGTCTAACTAACCACTTAACCCAGGAAGATTTATTGACAAGAGGGTCCGTGGTGGAAGCCTATCTTACTCTCCAAAGAACAACAAAGGGAAACACTCTGTGTCTGCCCACATCACCTCAAGGTGTCCATTGGTTTGGCCTTGTTGGTTTTTGGTTTCTTTACCCTGGTTTGTTTTTGTCCTGTATCCATAATAACCCCTGTCCCCCAACTGTCTTTCTCTTCTCTATTTCTAAAGAAGGTTACATTTGGCAGGAAGGGCCTCTGCTCTGTGCAGCTAGCTTTTAGGCTCCTTGCAAACTCACTGTGGAAGTGTCTGGGAGGTTGTTCATTCTTCCTCAATTTCCTGTTCAACCATTTGGCCATTCAATATACATATATTTGGTATTTTTGTTTTTTTTGAGATGGAGTCTCACTCTGTCACCCAGGCTGGAGTGCAGTGGTGCAATCTCAGCTCACTGCAACCTTGGCCTCCTGGGTTCAAGGCATTCTCCTGCCTCAGCCTCCTGACTAGCTAGGATTACAGGCATGCACCACCACTCCCAGCTAATTTTTGTATTTTTAGTAGACACGGGGTTTTGCCATGTTGGCCAACCTGGTCTGAAACTCCTGTATGGTTATCTGCCTGCCTCCACCTCCCAAAATGCTGGGATTACAGGCATGAGCCACCACACCCCGCCCACAATATATATATATTTTTTAAAAACTTCTGTCTTTCATTCTCCTGGCTGAAGGTTAAACAAGATGAATGATAAAACCTAGACAATAAAAAATGATAATTACTTTTGTTTGAGAACAAATCCTCTCTTGTTTAATAAGTACTTAGTATTCTCAACATTTAGTCCATTTGAGCAACTTTTGCACTCTTGATCTCAATCCTGTACCCATCCTACATTTGCCATGAAGTATGATGCCCTAAGATGATGGAATAAAACAGTAACAGTTTCTGGAATTTCTCAGAGAAAAGATCTCTGCCACCAGCATTGTTTTGTCTCTCTCAAGTGAAATCAGAATCTATGTTTTCCTCCTTCCACTGTTCATAATTCATGGCTAATTTTGCTTCTTGCATGCCTATCGAAAAACAAACATGATCTTTAATTTTCTTTCACATGCTATCTCTGTCAACTTCTGCATCATTAGGAAGCCCATTTTCATTTGTCTTTTCCTTTTCCACCCTTTTTTCCCTTCTTCTTCTTGTTCTAAAGAGAACACTAGAAATAGCATTAATCATGGAAAGATTATGTTAAAAATCTAGAAATCACGAAATGAAATGCGATATTTCAATGATATGATTTCATTAACTTCTCAAGTGCTGTGAAAGTATTCAGAAGCCCCCTTTAAAATCCCCACAAAATTATTTTCAAAGTTCTGCATCCTCTTCTGGGTAAATCTGCTTTTCTTTCGAAGCAGCATTCAAGATGCAGTTTAAAGTTCTCATTCAATTTTACTTTTTCTTTTATTTAATTACTAGAATTACAAGAGTTCTATTTTCTACACATTTTCACAGCAAATGTACACTATTTCAGATACATTAAGGCTAAATGGTCTTTTGTGGATGAGCCTCAGGGGAAACATAACCACCATTTGTAACTGTTTCTGCAGGAAAATGAATTCCGAGTTTCAAACAACTGATTTACAAATGAACCTTTGGATAGCTATCGCTTGCCATTTGTAAGTGGAAGACATCTTTCATCTTTTATCCTGTAATTTTTTTTTTTTTTTTTTTTTTTTGCATTGTAAGCCTGACAAGGTCATCCAATGAAATGTGTTTCCAGGACAAGACGTGATCAGTATTCCCAGTTAGCTGATGCCAGGAAACACTACACCCTAGAGGGATCTGGACCTCTTGCTACTACTTTTGACATCTCACTCCCTCAAAAAGGCAGACCTAGACAATGTCATATCACTAATTCTACTAGCCTTGGACCTTAGAAAGGTAACTGAACCTCTTAGTTTTCCCATCTATAAAGTGAGAAAAGCAACCTTTACGGAGTATTGTAATGATCAGAGGGATATGTGTAAAGACCCTACCAGCACCTGATATTTAAAATAAATGGCTAACAGAGGGAGCTATCACTTTTATTACTATTACCATTATTATTATTACTAAGATGGTGTATCACTCTGTGGCACCAACTGAAGTGCAGTGGCTGCAATCACAGCTCACTGCTACCTCAACCTTCCCGGGCTCATGTGATTCTCCCACCTCAGCGTCTCAAGTAGCTGGGACTACAGCACTTCACCACCATGCCTGGCTAATGTTTTTTTGTGGTGTTTTGTTTTGTTTTGTTTTGTAGAGATGGGGTCTCTCTGTGTTGCCAAGGCTGGTCTCAAATTCTGGGCTCAAGCTATCCACCCACCTAAACCTCCTAAAGTGCTGGGATTACAAGCGTGAGCCGCCGTGCCTGGCCAGGAGCTAGTATTATTAATTCAAAGCATTGATTGGAATCAGAAAGATTCAGAATTAAAATCAAGTTAATTCAACAAAAAACAAGCATTGATTCCTTATCACCTGGGCAGCACTGTGCAAGGTACAATTGGGGTACACAGGTTGGGAGAAAGACTGGGTAGTGTAACCTAAAGGAGGTTCTAAGTCTCAGATTGCAACAAACAATATGAACCAACTCTGATCTCTAGACATCTATTTTGTTTGATCCACACAATGCTTCAAACTTTGAATTTGTTGTCAACATTTAGAAGCCAGAAAATATTGCATGAAAATAAAAATCTTAAAAAATGTGCACGCATGTTTCTGCCTGGCAATAATTGGGTGGTGTTGAAAACTGGTTGTCTTCTTAAGCGTCTAGAAGGCCTTCATTTCACCACACGCTCTACCCAGTCTAGTACATTGATTTACTTGCTGACCTCTCTAAGCAATTGAGTTTGCAATTCCTATTTTGAATAATATGTTAAAACCATATCCCTTAAAGGGTTCCTTACCACTTACTATTTTAATAACAAAGTGTAAGGTTGCCTCTTTATTTTATGAAGTAAAAATAAATCCACATCACAAGAAATCAGCAACTGGATAGGCACCTGTCAGTGTAGGGCTCTAAACTAGTCACTAAAGGTTTCCTTTTTTTTTTTTTTTGGATATGGAGTCTTCCTCTCTCGCCCTGGGAGGCAGTGGCTCTATCTTGCTCACTGTGACTTCCGCCTTCCGGGTTCAAGCAATTTTTGTGCTTCCGGAGTAGCTGGGACTATAGGCATCTGCCACCATGCCCAGCTAATAGTTTTCTATATTTTTAGTAGAGATGCAGTTTCATCATGTTGGCCATGTTGGTCTTGAACTCTTGACCTCAAGCGACCCACCCACCTCAGCCTCCCAAAGTGCTGGGATTACAGGCATGAGCCATCGCGCCCTGCCAAGGGTTACTTTTCAAAGCGAACAGACAATTGCTTACGTTCTATATTATGGATGATAATAATAAGAATGGTTCACATTCGCTGGTGCTTAGTGCCAGCACCTATTCTATGCTCCTTACCTACATTAATTCATTTAACCCTTCTAAGTACTTTTGGAGTTAGGTACTATTATTTTCTTATTCAGCACAAAAGAAAGCTGAGGCCATGCTCCAAGAAATTAAACAACCTGCCTAAGGTCACATAGCTCTGACAGATTCAAATCCCGGAAACAGAGTCGAGATTCAAAGCAAGCAGTCTGGTGCCAGGGCCAGTGCTCACAACTATTGTGTAATAAAGACCCTTTGCTATGGTCCATCCTTTCCATGATGATTTGAATTGTTATGCTTAAATATATGCATATAAATACTATATATACACACAACTATGCATACACAATACATATATATGAACAAACCACATAAATACATATATGTTTATGTTATTATTTTCCATTGATAAAATACACATTGTCAATATCAGATTGCCTTAGTTATTGTGGCTTTATAGAATGTTCTGATACATTTCTTGGCAATTCTCCAGCATATTCTCTCCCAAACAAGTTTTAGTATGACAGGTCCATAATAAATCATATGGGATTTTTAATTAGAATTGCAATAAATTTATAGATGAATTTGTGGGAAATTATCATCCTAATAGTATTATTTCTTTCCAAGTTTATCTCACAGAAGTAGAGAGTGGAATAGTGATTCCAGAGGCAGGTAGGGGTGGGGGGAAGCACAGCCAAAGGTTGGTTAACAACACAACGCACAGCTAGATGAAAGGAATACATTTTAACATTCTATACCACTGTAGGTGACTATAATTAACAACATTTCTTGTATGTTTTCAAATGCCTAGAAAAACAGATTTTGAATGTTCCCAACTCAAAGAAATGGCAAATGTTTGAAGTGATGGAGACGCTAATTACTCTGATTTGATCATTACACATTGCATACATGTATCAGAATATCACACTGTGCTCCATAAATGTGTACAATTATTATAACTTAATTACAAATAATAAAAGCAAAAAATACTTCTATTATTTTAGGTTGAATTATTTAAAAATTGTTTTTATATTCAATCAGAGTAAGCTCATTGAAAAGATCTTAGGTTGGAAATGAGAAGTAAGAGAAAGGTGAACTTGCAGGAATATTGTTTTTTTAACATGTGCTACCCTAACCTGTTCAGGGACTTTGTGATCTAGATATCAGGAAGTGCTGCAGCAGCCATTGGCTGGGAGCAGGGAAATTGTATCAATAGGATGAGCCATTTTCAGTGTAGATGGAATAGAAAAGCTCCTCGAAAAGGCATAGAAATGCATTGCAATAGAAATGATGGATGCAAGGTAAAGAGTTCCACTGGGAAAAATCAGGAGGCTGAAAGAAAATGTGGAGCACAAGGGGGAAAAGCAAGTAAGCACTAACATTTACTGAGTGCTACACTCCGTCAGGCCCTGTGCTAAACACTTCGTATGTGTCCTTCTAATAGCACCTAAGACACGTGGACGATATTATCTTCATTTTATAGGTGAGAAGGCCAAAGTTCAGAAAACTTAAGTTACTTTTCTACGTTCACACAACCAGGAAATGTTAAGAGCAAAATCTGAACCGAGGTCTCTGAGTCCAACGCCCATGATTGTTGTACTCTATACAGAACGCAATAGTTCCCCTCCAGTCCTGGGCATGCTCAGGTGTTAAGATGGTTAGAGACTTCTGTGTGACAACTCTGACAGACACAGTGGTCATTTTATGGAGAACGGGGAAAACTAACATAATGAGTGGTATCATGCCATATATAGCAGCTCTTTTCAATACAATATAATGGATAATTATTTATTTATTATTTATTATTTTTTTGAGATGGAGTCTCACTCTGTCATCCAGGGTGGAGTGCAGTGGCACGATCTCGGCTCACGTCAATCTCTGCCTCCTGGGTTCAAGCGATTCTCCCGCCTCAGACTCACAAGTAGCTGGGACTACAGGCATGAGCCACAGCTCTCGGCCAATGGACAATTATTTAGGGCAACAGAAATTAATACGATTTGCTCTAACAGTAAGTGGAACAGCTCTGTATAGTAGAGGATATAACCATGGACAAAAAGAGGATAGAAATACAATAAAAAATTAAAAACCTTTGTTCTGTGAAGGACACTGTTAAGAAAATGAAAAGATAAGCCACAGACTAGGAGAAAATATTTTCAACAACCATATCTAATAAACGATATGTATCTGAAATATTTCTTTAGAAAACCTCTTACAAATCAACAATAAGAAAATAAATAACCCAGTTAAAAATGGGCAAAATAACTGAACAGACTCCCCACCAAAGAAGATATACAGGTAGCAAATAAGTATATAAAGAGATACTCAGCATTATTTGTCATTAGAGAACTGCAAATTAAAACAAGAAGATACCATTACGTGCCTATTAGAATGACTGAAATCTTAAAAAAATAAAAAGACAATATCCATACTGCTGGTGAAGCACACTGCTGGTCAGAATGCAAAATGGTATAGCCACTTCGAAAGACAGTTTAGACTTACCATATCCCCCATAAGTTGCAATTTTAGGTATTTACCCAATTGACTTGAATTTATGTCCACACAAAAACCTGCACCTGAATGTTTCTAGAAGTTTTATTTATAATCACCCAAAACTGAAAGCAACCGAGTTCTCCAGAAGGTGAATGGATAAACAAACGGACACATCCACAGATAATATTACTTAGCAATAAAGTAGAATGAGCTATTAATCCATGCTACAATGTGGATGAATCTTAAATGCATATTACTAAATGAAAAAAAGCCTATCTGAAAAGGCAACATAATCTATGATCTTATTCACACGACATTCTGGAAAAGGCAGAAATACATGGACAGAAAACTGATCAGAGATTTGAAGGGGTTTGGGGAGGGAGACAGTTGACTAGGTGAAGCACAGGAGATTCTTTTAGGGTGGCGAGAGTATTCCACACAGTACCATAGTGATGAATATATGACACTGTGTATTTGTCAAAATTCATAGAACTTTACAGAGCAGAGAATAAATTTAACATAGGCAAATTTAAAATAACTAGTAGATTAAGAGATCCTGGGATGAAATGCACACTTCGACAAAAAGATGTAACTGTATGCTAAGTATATAACATAACTTCACTGAAGAGGGTGGGTTAAAGACTGTTGACCTAAGTAACTTTGGAAATTATTGGAAAGTAGAAGATAAAAGGGCAAAGGAACTGCACATGAGCACTGTCCTCTAGTTGGTAAAGCTATTTTTCAAAGGAACATAACTTACCAGTCCTGAAGCCACTCTTCATGTATGTATACCTGGATGGAAAAAGTAAGTAAATGAACCAATAAGAGTTAGATCCAATTTTCTCAGTTTTCAAATGGGAGGTTACAGACAAGCAAAGGAGGAAGACTAGAATGATCCATGTGGTACAGTACTAGAGTAGGAAACATCATTGTGAACTCATGCTTAAATATTTAATATGGACACAGATGGATGGCTATTGAAATAATTATAGATATGTATACATACATGGGTTAGTATGCACATATAGATTTCCTAGCTCTGTCCACTGAGAGGGCCTAGAAGCGATGAATCCCCTGTAGTGACCAGCACACCCAGCACCAAGATCTTGGTTTCAAAAACCATTCTCCAATGAAAGAAACCAGAGTCCTCGGGGAAATTGCTGATTCTAGGGCCAAGGCAGGGAATATACAAGATCATCCTGGAGCTTATGATGGTATCAGAAAGTAAGGAAATGCTTACAAAACAAAAATGATAGGTGTAGGCTAAAAGTATGCAGGAGCTAAGTGATTGAATAAATATGTGATTGAATAAAGTCAACAGGGGGTGGGAGAAGAGGAAGAGACAGATATCCGAATAGAAGAATTTTAAATAATTTATGTTGATACTTGCCCTGTCTCAAGGAGATAGAGAATAATTCCCCACCACGTAAGGGTAGGCGGTGCCAACTATTGCTGCCAGAGAGTATGGTGTGCGAAGCAGGGGGAAGAGCGTTTTATAGTGGAGACACCTGAAACACTGTCTTAGCCAAGTGAGCTAGGTTAACAGCATCAGTGATAAGTCACGTTGATAGCATAGACCCTTGTTAGGATATGAATTGAATAGTATATCCCTTCTGAAGTTTTCCTCCCCAAAGCCCATAACCCCAGTCTAATTATGAGAAAAACATCAGACAAAATCGACTTGAGTCACATCCTACAAAATCAGGGACCAGTACTTCTCAAAACTGCCAAGGTTGTCGAAAAGAAAGTCTGAAAAATTGTCACAGTTCAGAGAAGGCTAAGGAGAAATAATGACTAAATGTCATGTGTTAGAGGGGATCCTGGAACAGGAGGTTAGGGGAAAAGTAATAAAGTTAAATAAAGTATGGAGTTTAGTTAATAGTAATGTGCCACAACGTTTATTCCTCATTGTGACAAATGTACTATAGTAGTGTAAAATATTAGCAATAGGGTGGTATATACGGCTCTGTAAAATCTTCGCAACTTGTCGGTAAATATCAAACTATTCTAAGACTTTAATGTGTATTTTTTAATAAAGAAAATTACCTGGTGTTACGGGATAATGTTTCATTCCAAGAAAGCTCCATATCCATTTGCATTGATCATCCTGGTGAAGCCCTTTCTTGATATCACACTCTGCTCCAGTTTTCTCTCAACTGCGATGAATTTGAAAGAATATTGTAGCACTTCCTTTCGATTCAGCAGGGAGACTTCTGTATCTTAGATGGTCGAGGCCTCATTATTTCCTACCTCCTAACCAGCATACCAGCTCCACGCAGCTCTCATCTCCCTCCCTCTCTCCACCTGTCTCTTTTTCATTTTCCATTCTTCTTATAGCTAAAGGTTGAAGATATCTTCTATCATATTTGGTATGTACCAGGTACTTGTGTATATTATTTCTCTAATCCTCCAATTTACGGATGGCAGCACTGAGCCCCAGACTGTTTAATTAACATGTCCCTGGCTAGGAGGCTTTTAAGTGCAGACGGCTGATCAAAATGAAAAGCAAGTATTTGTCTCCGAAGAGCAGGCCCTCTACACCAGCAAAATATTACCCTGTCTTTCTTAAAGCCTTCTAGGTCTTCTTTCATCAAGTGTTTAATGCAATATGATAAAGAGGAGGCTGGTCTTAGAAAAGGAGGTTGATCATTATTGGAGGCAAGAGAGTGTGTGGGAGAGGCTAATTGGTTGAGGGAGACAGGTAATCAAATCCTAAGTAAAGGCAACCTTGAAAGACCGCAACCATGGAAAACAAAATTGTTCTCTCCTGGTGAACCAATGGGATCAGGAAAGAATTTGCAGGCTTGGCGCCTCTCTTTATTTCCCCCTGCAACAAAGATGGCTCAAAAGGAACATTGTTAAGAGTGTTTTGCTCACTCAGCAATGAGGCAAGCTCATTAAGAAACTGGGGGCTGTGCCAATGGGGGCTCGCAGGGGTAGCCAATTCCTAACTTCACAAGATCTCACCTGCTGAAAATCATATGGAACTCAAATGCTAACTCATTCAGATGAAGCTTCAAATTGATGACTTTAAAGAGATTGAATAAACTCTTTATGTTACAATCTGGCATGTGCTTTTAATATTAACTACTACATATTTTATAGACTGTATTTGTTGCCAAGCACTAAAACAAACATTAAGCTGGTTTTGCCTTAACTGGTACTATGAATGCTTCCAAAACAGTGGGTATAAAAAGCCGCATAAAACACATCATAGTCATGAAAATCATCTGCATTAAACTCACATTTGCCATGAATGTGGCAGTTATTTTTCATCTACAAACAATTATATCACAATTACTTACTCTCTGTTAGGAAACATTTCATCAAAAACTCTCATTTAATTGACATAAAAATGCATTTTGTTCAGAGAAAAACATAATCTCTAATTTGTCCTAATGAAAGAAATAGGCATTCTGAATTAGTGAAAGGCTCATGTCTATTGAAAAATATGCCTCTTTATTAGTTTATATACAGAAAGTAACGCAAACTAAGCTACAAAGCTTACAGTAGGTAAAGAAGGACCCAAAAGAAAATAGTCCTATAATGAATAAATAAAAGTAACACACAGTATTCTATATTTTCCATAAAATGGAGGCTTGAAAAAATTTGTGTCATAAATAAGTTAAATGTACACCTTGTGTCATCCTGTTTAAATTGTGAATTTACTCAGTAGTTTTTTTCAATCACCCAGTTATAATAGGCACATCTAAATCATATACTCAGAATTATCACCGTTCAGACAAAGGAGCTTTTTCTCTAGGAAGTAATTGTAATTAAACCCTAGCTATATCAGCTAATCTGAAATTATATGCAAAATGTCTATAGATTATAAAAAGTCAGTACTATACCAAAACACAAGAAAGGATTGAGCATTACTAGTACTGATCATTTTATATGTCAGTTTCCAAAAATACTTTTTTAGAAAAGCAGACATTTGAACACAAACATATGCTCTTAGAATAGATAGATAGATAGATAGATAGATAGATAGATAGATAGATAGATAGATAGATATCATCCCAAATGCATTCGGTTGCTATGGAATGATTTTCAGAAAGTAAAGTACTCTATTTATTTTCATATCCAGCCCCATTATCATCTCAGCGTATTGCTGGTTATAATCTGTAGAAGAAAATAGAAGACATTTTTCTTGGTCTAACATACCTTGGTAGATGGTTTGTAAGAAGATTTCAGGTAATGAAAAGGTCTTTAATGTCACTGTACCCTCTGCACTTCATGTCTACCAAGGAATAACCTGTCACCACACGGACCATAGCAGCCAAGCAAGTTCCCCAGGAATGGATGGCAGGGGTAAGTCACCATGATAACAGGACATAACCCTCTTTACTACTACTCAAGAAATATTAAAAACATAGCTACATTAAAATAACAGAGTAAGTTCTTGTAGTAAGTCACATATAAAATAAAAAACAACTATTGAAACAAAGATTCCATAGTAAAACTGTAGTATTCAAGTGGCAATACCTTACAATAAACTAGATGATTATCCATTGTTATTTAATTTAAATTGCTTTCATCCTTTTTGAACAAAGCATAGCTCACCATGAGGCCTCTTGTAATACAGAGGGGATAATTCCCTTCGAGATCCCAAACTGACCCCATCAGCTTTGCATGTATTAAGGAATAAGGAAAACCCAGGGAAGAGGAAAGGAAAAAATATATATGATTTTCCCAAGTCTCATAAAAATTTTTGACACCAGTCTCTGTAAGTAGACCTTGTACAGATCTTTCTAAACTGTAACATGTTTCTTACCCCTAAGATTGTCATGCTGCTTGTATTAATAGCATGGACCACTGACTGATATAATCAGTGATGAAGGTAGTACCAATTTAGGACCCTAGAACAAA